>NT_187638.1:0-157053 GCF_000001405.40 Homo sapiens
AAAAATACAAAAAATTAGCCGGGCGTGGTGGCGGGCGCCTGTAGTCCCAGCTACTCGGGAGGCTGAGGCAGGAGAATGGCGTGAACCCAGGAGGCGGAGCTTGCGGTGAGCCGAGATCGCGCCACTGCACTCCAGCCTGGGTGACAGAGCAAGACTCCAGCTCAAAAAAAAAAAAAAAAAAAATCTACTCTCCCATGCTTGCCTCGGCAGCACATATACTAAAATTGGAACGATACAGAGAAAACTAGCATGGCCCCTGCGCAAGAATGACACGCAAATTCGTGAAGTGTTCCATATTTAAAAAAAAAAATCTACTTTCCTGGTAAATTTCAAGTATAGAGTACAGTATTGTCAACCATAGTGGCAAAGCTGTACAAGAGATCTTCAGACCCATTCCTCCTGAATACCTGATAGTTTGTATCCTTTGATCAACATCTCCCAATTCCCTCCCCCACACTGTCCCTGTAGTTCTAGTGAGTTCCCCAGACTCTGATGTCTCAATTTCATTCAGTCACTTTCCTCCAGATACATCTACCCATTCCTACTGCATCTTAGTATCCTGAGCCTTGGGGGCAGTTTCTGTGCCAAGTGGAAATGTGGAAATGAGATATTACGAAGAAAAATCTTTGCCCACCTAGACAGGGATCTGATATTTTCCAAGATGACACATGATTACATGTTGAAATGATAATATTTTGAGTCTACTTGGATAATAAAATAATATTTTGGATCTATTAGGTTAATATTTTGGGTCTGTTGGGTTAATAATATTTTGGGTCCATTGGGTTAACTTAAATTAATTTTATCTGTTTCTTGTTAGCTTTTTAATTTGGATACTAGCAAGTTTGAAAGAATGCATGCGGTTTGCATTATGTTTCTATAGGACAGAACTTACCTGTAGATGTAAGGGAGTCACAACAAAATTACAAGCATTGTTTTTGGTGGAAATGAGAAAAATGATTACAAATTTACATGGAAAAGCAAATAGCCAATAATAATAATAATGGCAATCTTAAAGAGGAAGGAGAAATTAGAGGATTCAGGCTGCCAAATTTTAAGGGGTTCTATAAGGCCACATAAAGTGCAGCATCCTCATGAGAGTGGACACAGAGAGCCACTGAGCAGAAAAGAGTGTGTAAAATACATCTGTGTACACACAGTCCTTTTATGGTTGACAGAGGCTGCCATGCGGATTAAGGTGGAATAGAATGTCTTCTCAGTAAATAACATTGGACCAGAGGGTTACAAGCAGGAAAAAATAAATCTAAGCTTATTTTCACACCATAAAAACACTGCTAATTTTTTATCTTATTATCATACATTTTGATGATTTATTTATAAAATTGATGAATGAAAATTATATACAGTTGTCCTTCACTATTCATGGGTGATTGGTTCCAGGAAACCCCCCTCCCTACCAGACACCAAAATCTGCAGATGCTCAAGCCTCTTGCATGAAATGGCACAGCGTTTGCATATAACCCATGCACATCCTCCTGTATACATGAAATCATCTCTAGATTACTTATAATTCCTGATACAGCCTACACACCACCTCACTTGTGTCCATACAATATAGTATTTTTGCTTTTTGGAACTTTGTGGATTTTTTCTCTGAATATTTTTGATTTATATTTGGTTCAATAAACACCTGTAAACCCCACAGATATGGAGGAGCGACTGTATATTTATAGTATGAAAGATGATGTGTTGACATGTGTCCCTGTGGAGATGAGACTAACAAGGCCTATGACTCTACAAATGTTTCATCTTGGAGTGACTCTGCCAGCTTTCCAGGTCTGCAGAGAGTAAGAATATCACTTGTTCATGTGATTCACGATCCTTGGAACCTCCTATGTGCTGCATCTTTGGATGGAAATTGGAGTCCCAGAGACAAATGAGGCTCCACCATGCTTCCAGAAGCTCAGAGTCCAGGGCTGAGAACCCAGTAGAGAACATATCAGGTTATATGGACATAGTAATGATAACACTGGAAACTTTTGGCGAATAAAGAGTCACATTATCAAAACCATGAGGGGAGACATGTTTATTTGAAGAGGAGAGAGCTACACTAAAGTTATAAAAAAAATTTATAAATTTTACTGATGGCAGAAGGCTGAAAGATAGTCTGAGGGGAGGTGGAACAGCATGAGGGAAGGTGGAACAGCAAGTGTGTAAGTGCCGTGTTAAGAGGGAGCCTCTTGCATGTTTGGAATTGTGAGTTCCTCAGTGTGATTGCAGCCTCAAGTAGGACTAGGAAGTAAGCCAGTTAGGTTGGAGAGGTGGGCAGGGGTCAAGTGAAATGGAGAATTGTGGGCTAAGCAAAGGAGTGTGTTTTCTCTCCAGCAGGCAGTGGGGACCTTAGACATTTGTAAGCAAGAGAGAGGCATGTTCAGATTAGTGGTGTGAGGAAGAGCAATGCCCTAAGATGAAGACTGACGCCTTCAGATTCCAGCTGCTGGTTCATGGGAGCTGGCAACCTGGTTTTGAGACAGGGCTGTTGTCTCCCTAGAAAACCCCCTCAAGACCTGACTGTGGTGCTCGTGGGCAGGAGACAACTTTGGATCTGGGCTCAGCATTTGGAAGTTCCGTGTACACGCTGGTATCTGTTGGGGGTGTCTTGGGCCTCTGAGAAGGGCGACTGATTTTTCTCTGTATGAAAACGCAGTGATCCAACTGTGCGTACGTCACCTCCTGAGGGTCTTGTTCATCAGAGTCCTGGAGAGAGGGAAATGCTGAGTGAGGGAGGGTGCTCACATTTTTCAGGACTATTAGGGATAAGACTGTATCCGTGAGGCTGGGCCGAGGAGGACCTACCTGCCTATTCACTGTTCTGTCCCCCGCAGGCTCTTGGTCCATTACAGCAGCATCTGTAGGAGACAGAAGTCATCAAAACCGCTTGGAGGGCCCTTCTGGGTCCTCATTTCATGGGCAGACACCAACCCACAGGGGGAGGCTGTAGGTGCCTGAGGCTCTTCAGCTGCCAACATCCAGACTCAGACATTCTATCTCTCTGAGTTCAAGACCCCATCCCATGAAGTGTTCTCAATTGGCATCCCATTGATTCTGTCTCCCACTTTCTGCCTGTCATGGAACCTTCTGGATGTCAGTGGCTGCAGGGGATGTGAGGATACAGTTCAGAACCAGGCAATGGTCTGTGAGCTGAAGGCAGGGGCAGGTTGTCTGGTGCTCTCTCTAGAAAGCCCTGCCTCTGTGGTTCCTCCCTTGGGCCAGGGACCATCCTGCCAGTGAGGAACACACACCTGCGTGCTCCCATCCTGCTTCCCCACACGGCCCTGAGCTCTCTGGCCTCTGCTTCGTGAGACTTACTCTTTTTGTTGGAGCACCAGCGATAAAGGAGAAAGAAGAGGAGGAGGATGAAGAGGAAGATGACCACTGAGGTCCCAATCAGAACATGCAGGTGTCTGCAGATACCTGGAGGAAGATGGGAATCCAATAAGAAGCTAATCATAGCAGTTCCTCCTTATGGATTGTCTCATTTCTTGATTGACAGGTAACCACATGGAACATCTCCTTAGGACAAGCAGCCTGATGGCGGGAGACCCAGCTTTCTCCTGCTTTCTCAGTTACAGCTCTCATAGAAACCATAGAATGTGCTGAGGATACAGCTGCTTTAGTTTAGATGTTTGACCCTTTGAAACCTCACACTGAAATATTGAAATTTAACCCCCAGTGTGGAAGTTTGGGCCTATGGGAAGGTGTTTGAGTCATGGAGGTGGATCCATCATGAATAGATTAATGCTGCCCCACATGATGGGGTTAGCAAGTTCCCCCTCTATTAGTTCCCGGAGAGCTGGTTGTTAAAAAGAGCTTGGAAGCTCCATCGCTCGCCCTCCCCCTTGCTCCCTCTCTTGCCATGTGATCTCTGTGGTCTCTGCACAGACAGACCCTCCTTCCCTTCTGCCAGAGTGGGAGCAGCCTGAGGCCGTCACAGGAAACAGATGCTGGTGCCATGCTTCCAGTACAGCCTGCAGAACTGTGAGGCAAACAAATCTGTTTTCTCTAGAAGTTGCCCAGGCTCTGGGATGCAAGGCTGGTTCAATATATGCAAATCAATAAATGTAATCCATCATATAAACAGAACCAAAGACAAAAACCGGACGATTATCTCAATAGATGCAGAAAAGGCCTTTGACAAAATTCAACAACGCTTCATGCTAAAAACTCTCAATAAATTAGGTATTGATGGGACGTATCTCAAAATAATAAGAGCCATCTATAACAAACCCACAGCCAGTATCATACTGAATGGGCAAAAACTGGAAGCATTCCCTTTGAAAACTGGCACAAGACAGGGATGCCCTCTTTCACCACTCCTATTCAACATAGTGTTGGAAGTTCTGGCCAGGGCAATTAGGCAGGAGAAGGAAATAAAGGGTATTCAATTAGGAAAAGAGGAAGTCAAATTGTCCCTGTTTGCAGATGACATGATTGTATATCTAGAAAACCCCATTGTCTCAGCCCAAAATCTCCTTAAGCTGATAAGCAGCTTCTACAAAGTCTCAGGATACAGAATCAATGTACAAAAATCACAAGCATTCTTATACACCAATAACAGACAAACAGAGAGCCAAATCATGAGTGAACTCCCATTCACAATTGCTTCAAAGAGAATAAAATACCTAGGAATCCAACTTACAAGGGATATGAAGGACCTCTTCAAGGAGAACTACAAACCACTGCTCAATGAAATAAAAGAGGATACAAAGAAATGGAAGAACATTCCATGCTCATGGGTAGGAAGAATCAAGATCGTGAAAATGGCCATACTGCCCAAGGTAATTTATAGATTCAATGCCATCCCCATCAAGCTACCAATGACTTTCTTCACAGAATTGGAAAAAACTACCTTAAAGTTCATATGGAATCAAAAAAGAGCCTGCATTGCCAAATCAATCCTAAGCCAAAAGAACAAAGCTGGAGGCATCATGCTGCCTGACTTCAAACTATACTACAAGGCTACAGTAACCAAAACAGCATGGTACTGGTACCAAAACAGAGATATAGATCAATGGAACAGAATAGAGCCCTCAGAAATAATGCCACATATCTACAACTATCTGATCTTTGACAAACCTGAGAAAAACAAGCAATGGGGAAAGGATTCCCTATTTAATAAATGGTGCTGGGAAAACTGGCTAGCCATAGGTAGAAAGCTGAAACTGGATCCCTTCCTTACACCTTATACAAAAATAATTTGAGATGGATTAAAGACTTAAACGTTAGACCTAAAACCATAAAAACCCTAGAAGAAAACCTAGGCATTACCATTCAGGACATAGGCATGGACAAGGACTTCATGTCTAAAACACCAAGAGCAATGGCAACAAAAGCCAAAATTGACAAACGGGATCTAATTAAACTAAAGAGCTTCTGCACAGCAAAAGAAACTACCATCAGAGTGAACAGACAACCTACAAAATGGGAGAAAATTTTTGCAACCTACTCATCTGACAAAGGGCTAATATCCAGAATCTACAATGAACTCAAACAAATTTACAAGAAAAAAACAAACAACCCTATCAAAAAGTGGGCAAAGGACATGAACAGACACTTCTCAAAAGAAGACATTTATGCAGCCAAAAAACACATGAAAAAATGTTCACCATGACTGGCCAACAGAGAAATGCAAATCAAAACCACAATGAGATACCATCTCACACCAGTTAGAATGGCGATCATTAAAAAGTCGGGAAACAACAGGTGCTGGAGAGGATGTGGAGAAATAGGAACACTTTTACACTGTTAGTGGGACTGTAAACTAGTTCAACCATTGTGGAAGTCAGTGTGGCGATTCCTCAGGGATCTAGAGCTTGAAATACCATTTGACCCAGCCATCCCATTACTGGGTATAAACCCAAAGGACTATAAATCATGCTGCTATAAAGACACATGGACACGTATGTTTATTGTGGCACTATTCACAATAGCAAAGACTTGGAACCAACCCAAATGTCCAACAATGATAGACTGGATGAAGAAAATGTGGCACATATACACCATGGAATACTATGCAGCCATAAAAAATGATGAGTTCATGTCCTTTGCAGGGACATGGATGAAATTGGAAATCATCATTCTCAGTAAACTATCACAAGGACAAAAATCCAAACACCGCATGTTCTCACTTATAGGTGGGAATTGAACAATGAGAACACATGGACACAGGAAGGGGAACATCACACTCTGGGGACTGTTGTGGGGTGGGGGGAGGGGGGAGGGATAGCATTAGGAGATATACCTAATGCTAAATGACGAGTTGATGGGTGCAGCACACCAGCATGGCACATGTATACATATGTAACTAACCTGCACATTGTGCACATGTACCCTAAAACTTAAAGTATAATAATAATAAAAATTTAAAAAAAAAGCTCATCAGAAGCACTATACAAAAAAAAAAAAAAAAAAAAAAAGAAGTAACCCAGGCTCAAGTGTTCTTTTATAGCAACAAAAATGGACTAAGACAGCAACGTCCTGAGATCAGGAGGAACGTCTCAGAACAGCTGTCTTCCTGTTCTTCCTGGAGGAGGACGTCATGCAGTGCTTTAGCTGAGTGCTTCCTGTGGCTTCAGGGTACAAAACCCGGGCTGGGCTATTTTCTGGCTTCCCCCAGATACACTGCAAATGAGGTCACTCCATATGTCCCGAGCAGCTTTTCTGAGCCTTGAGGGACTGGCTCACATTGAAATGTAGGCTTCTGTTGTCACTCGCTGCTTATCTGTTAGTAATGAACCTGCCTATGTAACGTATTCTCTGTGTGTTCTGTCTCCCTGGAGTGACGGTGAGTGATAGAAATTGGCATAGGCCCAGGTGCAGTACAGCAGGTGTTTAGAGTCTTCTCTGGAAAGACTGGACTGGGATTGATACACAGTGAATGTGCTTTACAGTTTCTACATCCACAACCCTCTTGACTCAAATTACATTCTCCAAGAAAAGGACACAAAAGTGAAATCAAGATCAAAAAAGCAAAGTAGAATTCTCTTATGTCAAACAGCCAGGAAATAATGATGAAGCCCATGTGAAACGTGCTACTCTTTGTGATCTCGCGAGACACATGTTAGGCTGCTGTTCCACCTGAGAGGCTGGGGGAAAGACCACCCCCTCCACCATCTATTGCTTCAAAACCACCTGTCCTCCTGTGAATTAGTAGGAAAGGGGAGCAGGAGCTAGTGCTGGTGCTGATCTCTGATTCCAAGATCTGAACTCACTCCAAGGAGTATTAGCGTTTACCTCCCCATGATCTATCTGTATCTCCACAGGTGATTGGAAGTAGGGGTGAGGTGGGGGATTTGGGTGAGGGGGAAAGTTTCTTGTGATGAACAGAGCACTTTCCCTATTTCAGGGCCTGTGCTGGTGGGTTCAGGGGGCTTTCATATTTTCCATATGATCTCATGTTCACAGAAAGCCAAATATGGAAGAGGTTTTAGGCTGATTTTCTAATGGATAAGATAAAGGATCAAAGAAGTAATTATAGAGGAATAGAAAAATGATGATTGGAATTCAGGTGCCTGCATCATTTGTGTATATTATTATATTTATGTATTTTTTATTTTTATTTTTTGAGACAGAGTATCCCTGTGTAGCCCAGGCTGGTGTGCAGTGATGCGATCTCCACTCACTGCAACCTCTGCCTCCAGGGCTGAAGTCATTCTCCTGCTTCCTCCTCCAGAGTAGCTGGGATTACAGTCATGCACCACCATCATGCCTGTTTAATTTTTGTATTTTTAGTAGAGATAGGGTTTCTCCATGTTGGCCAGGCTGGTCTCGAACTCCTGACTTCATGTGATCCACCCGCGTTGGCCTCCTGAAGTGCTGGGTTACAGGCGTGAGCCACCGTTCACAGCCTTGTATATTATGCTATACTAGGTCCCTTCATTTGCACCACCCCTCATCTAGCTCTCCCTCCTCTGCCAGGTATTGATTTAGATGCAGGAGAAATAAATCTCAGAAATAAGTTAGTGAAGCGAGGATTAAACTACCAGGAAAAATTAAACCCAGCAAGCCTTTCCAGCCAATGATTCTACCTCACAAACATATCTTATATCCATCTACTTCATTCATTTAGTGTCTAAATCAGCACCACATTTCACCAGTGGGGCGGCAATTGCCTTTTCCACGGTCTCCTAGATTCCAGTTATGCAACTGAGCCTCCCTTATTTTCATGTCAGTCATATTAATCATGTAGGGATTCCTGGCTACCCCGAGGTGAATCCAATGGCTGTGAGTGTCAAACACACGCTCCTTGTTCCTCCTTAGTTTCCTGTGTACCCAGTGTGCTCTCCGTCTCTCCACAGTCGTCTTGTCATTCTCCCCACTTCATTCCCAGCATTTGAGGAAGAGCCTCTTCCTTCCACATCAGATTGTTTTCACCTTTGTGCCTTCACGGCTGACAGCTGTGTGTGGAAAATCCTTCTGCCAATCTTCCAGGGGTTCAATCCGTGTTTTTCATTAATGTCACAAATATCTGATTAGTGAGAACTTCTCTGTCACCTGAAATCATACACTCAGCATTATCTATTATTGATTTGAAAATTTGGCTTGGCCCCGTGGCTCATGCCTCTTATCCCAGCGTGTTGGGAGGCAGAGGCTATTGGATCACCTGAGGTTGGGAATTTGAGACCAGCCTGGCCAACATGGTGAAACATCCTCTCTACAGAAAATATGCAAAAAGAGTTAGCCGGGCGTGGTGGTTGTGGTCTGTAATCCCAGCTACTGGAGAGGCTGAGGGAGGAGATCAGTTCAGCCCAGGAGGTGGAGGTTGCAGTGAGCCGAGATCATGCCACCGCACTCTAGCCTGGACGACAGAGCAAGGCTCCGTCTCAATAAACAAGTAGGTAAATACATAAATAAATAGATTTCATGCACAGATGCTTCTCAATAGATCATTCATTTATTGGTCCCCTTGTGCCTACATTTTCTGCCCTCCCATTTAACCATCTGCAAGATCAGTGTCCCAAGAACAGAGGCCAAATGCATCTTGTTCACTGTTTGTGGAAGGCAGGAGAATGTTGTCCCACCCCAAAAATGTCCATGTCCTAGCCTCCATAGCTTGTGAATATGTTATTTTACATGAAAGGAGGAATGAAGATTGCAGATGGAATTATGGTTGCTAGTCAGCTGAACTTAAAAGGAGGGTATCCTGGATGATTTCCGGGAGATTATGATGGATTTTCATCTTGGTGAACCCAATAGAATCCCCAAGTTTTCAAAAGAAGGGGAAGAAGGGAGAGCAGCATTCAGAGAAAGAGGTGTGGTAAGGAAGAAGGGTCTGAGTGATGCCATGTGAGATGTGACCAGTCTTTGTGGGCTTTGAGGAAGGAGGAAGGGTACCAGGAGCCAAGGAACATGGGAGCCTCTAGAAGCTGAGAAAAGTGAGAAGCAGATTCTTGCCTGGAACCCTCAGAGGGAAGGCAGCCTTGCTGTCACCTTGATTTTAGCCCAGTGACATGCACGTCATGCTTTGAGCTACAGCACTGTAAGATAATTAAATAACCGTTTTGTTTTCACCCACGAATCTTGTGGAAATTTGTTATGGCAACAATAGGAAAAGCTTCCACACTGCACAGCCTGAGCATGGGGCTGTGGCTGAATGAGTCAGTGAGTCGAAGTGTGCGTGCATGAGCTCTGTTCTCTGTTACGGCAAGGCTCTTGCTCTGCTGAGTCAGCCAGGGTTGCCTGATGACCAACAGTAATTCATTCCTTGGCAAGTGGAACTTCTCTAAAACACCCACCCTCATCAGATGTTCCCTTCCCTTCCCTTCCCTCTCTCAAGCCCCCGGGAATTTATCCTCCAGTTAGGAATGCAGGCAGAAAAAACACTGCATTTTTCCTGAGAAGGATGTCAGATTGGCAATTATTCTTCTAGCTTGTAGGAGGTCTCACCTGCAGGAAATTAAAGGTAAAGAGACTTCGCTGAGCCCTTTGGTGGCCCTAGATCCCTTTCACTGTTGGAGTGTCTGGAGTTCAGAGATGGTGGAAGACAGGCCCTCATTCACAGAGCTGGGAGGTTTGAGCCAACACTTGCATCCAAGGCTTCCACCTCCCCAGGTTTCCAAAAGCAGAGATAAGAGGGGTCCTTTACTCACCAGATTTGGAGCTTGGTTCTGTGGGTGAAGGCCAACTACTTGAAGGGTTTCCTAGAACACGGGACAGGAGAGATGTGAGGAAATGAGGGTGCTTGTCCTCTACTCAATGGAAATCTTTGAGGTTGGTTCATGGCCAACACTCTGTTATCTAATGTTGGACCCTGGGAGTCTTGGGATCCTTTTCTCCATAATTTTTGTGTGCGATGCCCACTGTCTTGAGACTTGAAGGTATAAAGAGAAAACAGGAGCATCACACTACCTGACTTAGAAATATGTTACAGAGCTGTAGTAAGCAAAACAGCATGACATTGGCATAAAGAAAGGCACATAAAAAATGGAACAGAATGGAGAACACAGATATAATCCATGCATTTACATCCAATGGCTTTCTTTTGTGTGTGTGTGATGGAATCTTGCTCTGTCATGCAGGCTGGAGTGTAGAGGTGCAATCTCAGCTCAATGCAACCTCCACTTCCTGGATTCAAGAAATTCTCTTGCTTCAAACTCCTGAGTAGTGGTATTACAGGCACTGATCACCATGCTCAGCTAATTTTTGTATTTTTAGTAGAGACGAGGTTTCACTCTGTTGGCCAGCCTGGTCTTGAACTCCTGGCTTTAGGTGATCCACCCGCCTCGGCCTCCCAAAGTGCTGGAATTGCAGGTGTGAGCCACCATGCCCAGCCCATTTAATGGACTTTGACAAAGGTGCCGAGAACTTACAATCAAGAAAGGACAGTCTTCAATAAATGGTGTGGGGAAAACTGGATATCTACATGCAGAGGAATAAAACTGCATCTATACCTGTCACCTTACACAAAAATCAAATGAAAATGGATTAAAAACATGAGTCTAAGGCCTGAACCTATGAAACATGTAGAAGAAAATAATGGGGAAGACATTTGTCTGACGAAAGACATTTTGTTTAAAACCTTCAAAACACAAGTAATCAAAGCAAAAAATAGACCATTAGGATTACATCAAACCAAGCAACTTCTGCACCACCAAAGATAAACCAACAAAGTGAAGAGACAACCCACAAAATAGGAGCAAATATTTGCAAACTATTCATCTGAGATGGGATTAATAACTGGAAATATAAGAAGCTCAAACAACTCAATAAAACAATTTAATTAAAAAACGAGCAAAAGACATGAGGAGACATTTCTCCACAAACAAAACATAGAAATGGCGATCACGTATATGAAAAAGTGCTCAGCATCACTCATCATCACAGAAATGTAAATTACAATCGCGATGAGTTTTCATCTCATCCCATTAAAATGCCTTTTAGGCCGGTGGCTCACGCCTGTAATTCCAGCACTTTGGGAGGCGGAGGTGGGCGGATCACCTGAGGTCGGGAGACCAGCCTGACCAACATGGAGAAACTCCCTCTCTACTAAACATACAAAAATTAGCTAGGCGTGGTGGCACATGCCTGTAATCCCAGCTACTTTGGAGGCTGAGGCAGGAGAATCAGTTGAACGCGGGAGGCAGAGGTTGCAGTGAGCCGAGATCACACCCTTGCACTCCAGCCTGGGCGACTATGAGTGAAACTCCATCTCAACATAAATAAATAAATAAATAAAGTAAAGTAAAATGGCTTTTATCTGCAAGACAGGCAAAACAAATGCTGGCAAGATGGTAGAGAAAGGAGAACCCTGGTACCCTGTTGGTAGGAATGTAAATTAGTACAACTATTATGGAGAAAAGTATGGAAAAACTTTAAAAAACTAAAAGGAGGCTGGGCATAGTGGCTTATGCCTGTAACTTCAGCACTTTGGGAAACCGAGGCAGGCACCTCACTTGAGGTCAGGAGTTTGAGAGCAGCCTGCCCAAAATTGGGATATCCCGTCTGTGCTAAAAAATACAAGAATTAGTCAGGCATGGTGGCGTGCACCTGTAATCACAGCTATTAGGGAGGCTGAGTCAGGAGAATCGTTTGAACCTAGGAAGCAGAGGTTGCAATGAGCCAAGATCGCACCACTTTGACTCCAGCTTGGACTAAGGAGGGAAACTCTTTCTCAAAAAAGAAAAAAAAAAAAAGAGAACTTTCATAGTGTCCAGCAATTTCACTACTGGGTTTATATCCAAAGGAAAGGACATCAGTGTATCGAAGTGATATCTGCACTCAAATGACTGTTCCAGCACTGTTCACAGTAGCCAAGATGTGGAGTCAACCTACCTGCCTATCAGTGGGTGAATGGATAGAGAACTGTAGTACACACACACGGTGGAGACTACTCATCCATAGAAACAATAACATCCTGTCATTTGCAGCCACATGGATGGAACTGGAGGTCATTACAAAGATTCCCATTTCTCACCACATGCAGGAGATAAAAGGTGGATCTCATGAAGGTAGAGAATAGAATGGTGGATACCAGAGGCCAGGAAGGGAAGGGTGGAGGGTAACAAAAAAAAGAATATAGATGTATTTATTTATTTAGAAACAGAGTCTCTCTCTGTCTCCCAGGCTGCAGTGCAGTGGCATGATCTCGGCTCAGTGCAACCTCTGCCTCCTGGCTTTAAGTGCTTCTCCTGCCTCAGCCTCCCAAGTAGCTAGGACTACAGGTGCATGCCGGCATGCTTGGCTAATTTTTCTTGTCTGTTTAGTAAAGATGAATTTCCCGCATGTTGGCCAGGCTGATCTCGAGTCCCTGATCTTAAATGATCCACCTTTCTTGGCCTCTCAAAGCGCCAAGATTACAACCGTGAACCACCACACCCAGCATATAAAGGTATTTATGACCACTAGATTTTACTTTTAAAAATGGTAAAGTTGGTAAATTATATAGTTACATTTAACCTCAATAAATATTTTTGAAAATGAAAAGAAAAGAGTGTAGGGGTTGCTGGTGATGACATCTCTCTGTGTGGGTGAGAGGCCAGGATGGGCTTCTGGGAAATGGGTAAGGTTGAGGGGCTGAGGGAACCTCTGATCTCCCCAAACTGAGCCCAGTCTCCCCTTCTCTGGGTCTGTCCTGACCGCTTTCTCCATCTGCCTGGGTGCCTGGAGCCCTGACCATGGGCCTCCATGCAGGCCATGCAAGAGGGTTTGGAGGTGCCCTGTCTGCCATCCTGCACCCTGACCCCCCCCCTCACACCCAGTCTTCGTGTTCTCTCTGCATCTGTCCATGCTTCTCCCCATCATCGGCAGGAAGCTCCTCAGCTATGGCTCTAGGATCATAAGACATGGGACAGACACGGGTTTTCCTCACCTGTGACAGAAACAAGCAGTGGGTCACTTGAGTTTGACCACACGCAGGGCAGGGCACGGAAAGAGCCGAAGCATCTGTAGGTCCCTCCGTGGGTGGCAGGGCCCAGAGGAAAGTCTGCCTGGAATGTTCTGTTGACCTTGGGCACTGCACGGAGCCTACGTTCATGGGCCTCCCCTTCCCTGGACAGATGGTAGATGTCATAGGAGCTCCAGGAGCTACAGGACAAGGTCACGTTCTCTCCTGCCTGAACCGTGGGGCCCGGCTGGGCTGAGAGAGAAGGTTTCTCATATAGACCTGGAAGGAGAAGAGGCAGTTTCCTCAGGGAGGTTCTTCCTTGTCACAGCTCCCCTCATACCTGAGCTGAGAACTCACTCCCCTGCTCTATGACCTAATGCTCTCTCTCTCTCTCACCCTCCACCCCAACTCTCTTCATGTCTATTTCCTCCTTCTGCCTTCTCTGTCTCTCTAGGTCTCTGACCTCACTTCCCCACCCCTGGGTATGCTTTCCCTTTTTGGATTGTTTTATTCTCTCTGACTCTCCTTGGATTGGTTGACTTGATCTTCCTTTTTCTATAATTCTGAGTCTCTCACTTTCTGTCTTGTTCATAACTTTCTGCATATTTCTATCTATTATCTATCTATCTATTTTGTGTCTATCTACAAATTATCTGTCATCTATATCTATGTATCATTTATCTATCAATTGTCTATCTGTCTATCCATCAATCATCTATGTATTATCTGTATCTATGTATCATCTCTCTCTCTCTCTATTACCTCTCTGTCTGCCTGTCAGTCTCTATGTATCATCTATGTATCTATATATTTATATATGTGTCTTCTATCTATCTATCTTCATCATCATCATCATCATCATCTCTATGTATCATCTATCAATCATCATCTATGTATCTATAACCTATCCATTATCTATCATCTACCTATTTATCATCTATCTATATCTATCTATCCATCTATCATCTGTCTCTCTCCATCTCCTTGTCTTTCTCTGCCTCTCAGTCTCTCTAGTTCTATTTGGAATCTCTGCAATCCATCCCCACATCTTTATCTTTCTCTGTCTTTGTGCCCCTCCCTCAGGGTTCTGATTTTGGGGCTTTTCTCTCCTCCCTTCCAGCATTCTCTCCACTCCTCTGCCCTCTTTTCTTTCTTTTTGTGTGTCTGTGAGTCTCTCAATCCCCTTCCTCTGGCTCATTCTCTGTGTGTTTATGCCTTTGCTTTTTGAAGTCCCTGATTTATCTCTGTGTCTCTCAGTGATCCTATTATATGTAGGATTATTTGGAATATGAGCCTCAGAATCTAGTCTGGGGACACCAAGTACACACAGTATTTAGGGGTTGGTGTTCTGGGGCCATGATATCCTGGGATAATTATGGCTCCACTGCATGGAAGGCAGAGGTGTCAGAATAAACATGGCATCTGTAGATGCCACAAGGCCTGAGGCCACAGGGCCCAACTCAGGTCAGAAATATGGGTGTCCTTGGGTTCTCCTCGTAGAAGCACTTTGTGGAGACAAAACAGAAATGAAACTTCTAACCTGTGCCAGGTCTCTGAGCAAAGTCAGCATGGAAGGACACTTCTCTCTGGCACATGTCTGTCTGTCTGAGTGTCTCCTTTACCTCTTTCTCTCTTTTCTACTTCCCCGTATGGCCCCTGTGTCTGTCCTCTGTTATGACACCTGGTCTGTACTTATGTCTCCTGTTTCCCTGTCTCTGTTGGTACAGACCTCACCGAGTCAGTCTCTCTCCATAAGAATCCCACGCTTATCTTCCTCATGACCACCTGGGGGTTCCAAGTCCTGGATCATTCACTCTGTGTCCCAATGACAACGAGAAGAATGTCTGGACACTCTCACCTGTGATCACGATGTCCAGGGGGTCACTGGGAGCTGACAACTGATAGGGGGAGTGAGGAACAGAACCATAACATCTGTAGGTTCCTGCAAGGACAGGCATCAAGGGACCGATGGAGAAGTTGGCCTTGGAGACCCCATCATGGATCTGTCCAACGAGGCGTGAGGGGTCCTCAGAGATCCCCTCTCTGTGCAGAAAGAAGTGCTCAAACATGACATCTGACCAACATTGCAGGATGACTGTCTCTCCTGATTTCAGCAGGGTCCCTGGGTGGGCCAGGAGGGAAGGTTTTCTGTGGTTTCCTAGAAAGAGAAGTTGTGAGTTTAGAAGGCATCTCTCTTTATCATCCCATCCATGGCACCTGGAATGAGTGAGGGTTCCCCTCCCAGAGGTCTGTCTCTCTCCTCCCTCTCTGTGTCTCCGTGTCTTTTCTGTGCCCATATCCCCTGGTGCAGGTCCCTCCATTTGTCTTCCTCCCTCTTCTCTGTCCCTCTGTCTCCAGTAGCCCCTGACTCCCTTCCCACTGTGAAGAGAGCCTCATCTCTTGGGCTGTTGTATCTCTTTCCCACTAGTCTCTTTCCTGCTGTCTATGTGGGGGTGGAAGAGGACAGGCTGCATGTCCAGGCTCTCAGCAGCCTGAATCAATCTCTTTTGAACAAATTGGAGTCTCTGGCAGAGGTATCAACTCATCAGTAAGGCAGACATCAGTGTCCACACACCCTGTTCCTGATGGGGATTGGGAGCCTCTCCTGCCATGTCTGTGCCTTCTCCATGGCCCCAGCTTCCATAGGGTGGTCCCTGGTGCTGGTTCCAGGAGCATCAACCCCTTCCTATGTGGATGGAGCCTGGTGGTGGCATCAGCATCCCACCCTTGCTGATCCCACGGTAGCCAACCTTCTCCTTGTTTGGTTTCTTTAATTAATTGATTAATTAATTTATTTTTGAGACAGTCACTTTTTCACCCAGGCTGGAGTGCAGTGGTGTTGTCTTGGCTCACTGCAACCTCTGCCTCCCTGGTTCAAGTGATTCTCTTGCCTCAGCCTCCCCAGTCGTTGGATTACTCGTGCCCACCACCACACCTGGCTATCCTTGTTTGGTTTCCTAGCTTGTCCTTGACCTGGGTTCCTGTGTCGGTTTCCTGTTGCTGCTGCAGAAAATTATCACAAACATGGCAGCAGGAGAGAACACACTGACCCCTTCCACTTCTGGGGACAGAAATTGGATCCAGTTCTCCCTGTGCTGAAATCAAGGCATCTGCAGGGCTGCGTTCCCTCTGGAGACTCAGCGAATCAGTTCTCTTGACTTCTCCAGCCCTTAGAGGCCACCTGCATTCTGTGACTAGTGGCCTTCCTCCACCTTCAAAGCCCACAGTGGCTGATAGCGTCTCCCTCCCACTACACTGCTCTAATCCCCACTCCCCTCTTCCTCCACCTCTCACGCGGACCCTTGTGATTACACTGAGCCCAGCAGGACAGTCCAGGCTGTCTCCCCATCTCAAGGTCAACTCATCAACAACCTGAGCTCCACCTTCCCCTTCAGTCCCCTGCCCTATAACATAAATAGTCACAGGCTCCAGGGTTTACAATGTAGCCATCATTGGCGACAGTGATTCTTCCCACCACAGCGCCCATTTCCCCTGTATTCAATCCCCCTTGACCCCAAATACAGTTGGGGCCTGGGTGATGGGACCCTGATGGACACCCCCACCAGAAGCTCTGGGATTCAGGAGGTGGGACAGTGAGAAGCCCAGACAGAAAGCCTCTGACCTGTGACCATGATCACCAGGGGGTTGCTGGGTGCCGACCACCCAGTGAGGGAGTGTGGGCGTGAACCCCGACATCTGTAGGTCCCTGCATGTGCTGGGGTCACAGGGCCCATGATGAAGCTCTCCTGGAATATTCTGCCGTGGAAGATGGGAACGTGGCTTCTGTCTTCTTTGTACAGCATGAAATTGTTAAACCCACGACGATAGTGACACTGAAGAGCCACGTGTCCTCCTTGAGGCACCACAGTGCTGGGCCGGGCAGACAGGAAGGGTTTGTCCTGACCACCTGGGGGAGAAGGAGGCACTGCCTTAGAGAGGAGGATGTGGAGCCACCCCTCCCTCCCTGTGCTCAGAAGATTCTCCCATTTCCGCTTTCTAAGGCTCCTACCACACCTGGGTGCCCAGGGCTACAGGAAGGACCCACCCCACATAGACATGGCGTCTCCCTACAACAAGTGTCAGCTGAGAACTTTGAGCAAGTGCTGAATAAGTGACTCTTACTAGATTTTAATACTGCAAAATTACTCACATAAAATAACACAAAGTAGACACGGCATGGAGGGCATGTCCTATGTGAATGGAATATCAGCCAATTCATGAACTGAGCCCCCTCAGAGGATTTGGAATGTCAGGGCCATGGCTGTGGTTTCCCCCCTCTTCTGGTAGAAAGACCGCAGCCACACTGCAGCCCCTACCGTCACGGAAACGCTGGAGGGTGTCAGTTATACCTTTGTCCTCAGAGGACCTGCTGTTCCTAGCACTGCTTCCCTCTCTTTCTCTGCTGCTGACACCACTTCCTCCCTGCACACCCCAGCTTGGAGCACCCCAGTCTCACCCCAGTCTTCACAGAGCTTGACTCAGGAAAGGGAAAGAAAGGCCGGGGAGGGCGAGGTCAGAAATGTGGGCCGAGTATCCAAGGGTCCCCTCTTCCTAGTTTATGAGAGACTCCCCGACAGGACTTCCCTCCTGTTTCAGAAAAATCCTCTTATGTGGGGAGATGACACCCTAAGGTTTGGGGAAGGACTCACCCATGAGTGGCCAGGCCCCCTGCAGCAAGAAGAACCCTGGAAAGAAAGATCATGATAGACGATCCAACTGCAGGCAAACCAGGGCACCCTGCTGCCCCCACTGCACTGTGTGTCTTGGCAGCCAGGCCCTTGCTGGGCTGAAGGTAAACTTAGCCTCCCTGCTACCTGCTGCCAAGAACAGGGCTCTCAGCTGTGGAGAGACCCAGGCTCCAGGCCCAGATCAACACTTCCTGGCCCAGATCTCCACTCCAGGCCCATATCTCCACTCCAGGCCCCTATCTCCACTCCAGGCCCATATCTCCACTCCAGGCCCATATCTCCACATCAGACCCATATCTCCACTCCAGGCCCAGATCTCCCCTCTAGGCCCATATCTCCACTCCAGGCCCATATCTCCACTCCAGGCCCATATCTCCACATCAGACCCATATCTCCACTCCAGGCCCATATCTCCACTCCAGGCCCAGATCTCCACTCCAGGCCCGTATCTCCACTCCAGGCCCATATCTCCACACCCAGGCCCATATCTCCCCTCCAGGCCCATATCTCCACTCCAGGCCCATATTTACACCTCCAGGCCCATATCTCCACACCCAGGCCCATATCTCCACTCCAGGCCCATATCTCCACTCCAGGCCCATATCTTTACCTCTAGGCCGAGATCTCCATCCCCACTCTCCCTCCCTCTATTCCCTTCCAGGACTCACCAACGCACGCCATGCTGACGACAGTGAGCGACATGGTGCTGCCGGTGCAGACAGGAGGCCGCGCCCCAGCTCAGCTCAGCAGCGCACAGGATGTTATTTGGCGCCCTGCCCATGCAGTTTACATGTTGACCACATCATGGGAGGGTGACGTACGCAGGCTCTTTCTACCTTGCATGAGGCCCAGTGGGTGCTCGCTCAAGAGCGGAACATGGCTTCCTGGAAATTGTTGTGACTACAATTGCCACCTTGCATCCTTCACTATGACCAGACTCAAAAGATGTCTCAGATCCAACCTCTCACACATGAGGTGATTGAATTCTGTGCTTACATTAAAGACTTTTGATGTATTTTTGTTTTTATCTGAGATTCAAACTTTTCTTCATGTGTAATGTGCAAAATATCTAAGAGGTATTATTAACATTATCAGAGTAATTGTGACAAAAAGCCATTCTAATTTTCCTGATGAGTTTCTAGTACTAAACCTGAGGCACGAGAATTGCTTGAACCTGGGAGGCGGAGGCTGCAGTGAGCTGAGCTCAAGCCACTGAACTCCAGCTTGGGTGACAGAGGAAGAGTCTGTCTCAAGAAAGAAAAAAAAAAGCAAACTAAATAACCTATAATAACAAATCAGAGAACTCAGGTTACCAAATTTTAAGGGGTTCTATAAGTTTATATGAAATGCAGCATCCTCATGAGAGGGGATACAGAGAACCACTGGGCAGAAAACTGTGTCTAAAATACATCTGTGGATACACAGTCCCTTTATAGTTGACAAAGGCTGCCATGTAGTTTAAGGTGGAATAGAATATTTTCTCAATAAATAACACAGGACCATAGGGTTACACGTAGGAAAAAATAAATCTAAACTTATCCTCACACTATAAAAACACTTCTTATTTTTTATCTTGTTGTTGTAAACTTTTTATGCTTTATTTTTAAGATTGACAAATAAAAATTATATACTGTGGTCCTTCACTATTCCTGGGTGATTGGTTCCAGGATCCCCATTCAGATACCAAAATCTGCAGATGCTCAAGCCCCTTGCATGAAATGGCATAGCGAAGCTGGGCACCGTGGCTCACGCCTGTAATCCCAGCACTTTGGGAGGCTGAGTTGGGTAGATCACGAGGTCAGGAGTTCAAGACCAGCTGGTCCGACATTCTGAAACCCCGTCTCTACTAAAAATACACACACAAAAAAATTTATCTGTGCATGGTGGCACGTGCCTGTAATCCTAGGGGAGGCTACTGGGGAGGCTGAGGGAAGACAATCGCTTGAACCTGGGAGGCGGAGGTTGCAGTGAGCTGAGATCATGCCACTGCACTCCAGCCTGGGTGAGAGAGTGAGACTGTCTCAAAAAAAAAAAAATAGCATAGCAATTGCATAGAACCCATGCACATCCTCTTGTATACATGAAATCATCTCTTGATTACTTATAATTCCTGACACAGCCTACACGCCACTCAATTTGTGTCGATTCAACATAGTTTTTTGCTTCTTGAAACTTCGGGGATTTTTTTCTGAAAATATTTTTGATTTATTGTTGGTTCAATAAACACCTGTAAACCCCACAGATATGGAGGACCGACTGTATATTTATATTATGAAAGATGATATGTTGATATGTGTCCCCGTGGAGATGAGACTAACAAGGCCTATGACTCTACAAATGTTTCATCGTGGAATGACTCTGCCAGCTTTCCAGGTCTGCAGAGAGTAAGAATATCACTTGTTCATGTGATTCACGATCCTTGGAGCCTCCTATGTGCTGTATCTTTGGATGGAAATTGGAGTCTCAGAGACAAATCAGGCTCCATTCTGCTTCCAGAAGCTCAGAGTCCAGGGCTGAGAACCCAATGGAGAACAGATGGGGTTATGTGGACATGGTAATGATAACACCGGAAGCCTTAGGCAAGAAAAGAGTCTCGTTACCGAAACCATGAGGGCAGACATGTTTATTTGAAGGCGGGAAAACTACATTGAAATTATTTAAAAAATTTATAAGTTTTACTGCTGGCAGAAGGCTGAAAGATAGTCTGAAGGGAGGTGGAACAGCACGTGTCTAAGTGCTGTGTTAAGAGGCAGCCTCTTGTATGTTTGGAATTGTGAGTTCCTCAGTGTGATTGCAGCCTCAGGTAGACTAGGAAGTAAGCCAGTTAGGTTGGAGAGGTGGGCAGGGGTCAAGTGAAATGGAGAATTGTGGGCTAAGCAAAGGAGTGTGTTTTCTCTCCAGCAGGCAGTGGGGACCTTAGACATTTGTAAGCAAGAGAGAGGCATGTTCAGATTCGTGGTGTGAGGAAGAGCGATGCCCTAAGATGAAGACTGATGCCTTCAGATTCCAGCTGCTGGTACATGGGAGCTGGCAACCCGGTTTTGAGACAGGGCTGTTGTCTCCCTAGAAGATCCCCTCAAGGCCTGACTGTGGTGCTCGTGGACAGAAGACAACTTTGGATCTGGGCTCAGCATTTGGAAGTTCTATGTACATGCTGGTATCTGTTGGGGGTGTCTTGGGCCTCTGAGAAGGGGGAGTGATTTTTCTCTGTGTGAAAACACAGTGATCCAATTATGCGTATGACACCTCCTGATGGTCTTGTTCATCAGAATCCTGGAGAGAGGGAAATGCTGAGTGAGGGAGGGTGCTCACATTTTTCAGGACTCTTTGGGAATAAGACTAGCCACGAGGCTGGGCCGAGGAGCACCTACCTCGCTGTTCACTGTTCTGTTCCCTGCAGGCTCTTGGTCCATTACAGCAGCATCTGTAGAAGACGGAAGTCAACAAAAGAGCTCGGAGGGCACTTCTGGGTCCTCATTTCATAAGCAGATACCAACAAACAGGGGGAGGCCATAGGTGCCTGAGGTCCCTCAGTTGCCAACAGCAGACTCAGACATTCTATCTCTCTGAGTTCAAGGACCCATCCCATGAATAGCTCTGAGGTCCCATCCCATTGATTCTATCTCCCACTTTCTGCCTGTCATGGAACCTTCTCCTGGATGTGAGTGGCTGCAGGGGACGTGAGGATACAGTTCAGAATCAGGCAATGGTCTGTGAGCTGAAGGCAGGGGAAGGGAATCTGGTGCTCTCTCTAGAAAGTCCTGCCTCTGTGGCTCCTGTCTTGGGCCAGGGACCATCCTGCTGGTGAGGAACACACATCCGCGTGCTCCCATCCTGCTTCCCCACATGGCCCTGAGCTCTCTGGCCTCTGCTTCGTGAGACTTACTTTTTTTGTCGGAGCACCAGCGATGAAGGAGAAAGAAGAGGAGGATGGTGAAAGGGATTTTGACCACTGAGGTCCCAATCAGAACATGTAGGTGTCTGGGGTTACCTGGAAGAAGAGGAGACACCAATAAGAAGCTAATCATAGCAGTTCCTCTTTATGAATTGTCTCGCATTTCTTGATTGGCAGGTAACCACATACAACGTCTCTTTAGGACAAGCACCCAAATGGCGGGAGACCTAGCTTTCCCCTGCTTTCTCAATTATAGCTCTCATAGTAACCATAGAACGTGCTGAGGATACAACTACTTTAGTTGAGATGTTTGACCCTTTCAAACCTCACATTGAAATTTCACCCCCATTGTGGGAGGTTGGGCCTCTTCAGAGGTGTTTGGGTCATGGAGGTGGATCCATCATGAACAGATCAATGCTGTCCCAAGGAGACGGGGTTAGCAAGTTCCCCCTCTGTTAGTTCCTGGAGAGCTGGTTGTTAAAAAGAGCTTGGAAGCTCCATTGCTCCCTCTCCCCCTTACTCTCTCTCTTGCCGTGTGATCTCTGCGGTCTCTGCACAGACAGACCCTCCTTCCCTTCTGCCAGAGTGGGAGCAGCCTGAGGCCGTCACGAGAAATAGATTCTGGTGCCATGCTTCCAGTACAGCCTGCAGAACTGTGAGGCAAACCAATCTCTTTTCTTTAGAAGTTACCCAGGCTCAAGTGTTCCTTTAGAGCAACAAAAATGGACTAAGATAGCAACATCCTGAGATCAGGAGGAATGTCTCAGAACAGCCTGGGCTGTCTTCCTGTTCTTCCTGGAGGAGGACGTCATGCAGTGCTTTAGCTGAGTGCTTCCTGTGGCTCCAGGGTACAAAACCCAGGCTGGGCTGCTTTCTGGCTTCCCCCAGCTACACTGCAAATGGGGTGACTCCATATGTCCCGAGCAGCTTTTCTGAGCCTTGAGGGACTGGCTCACATTGAAATGCAGGCTTCTGTTGTCACTCGCTGCTTATCTGTTAGTAATGAACCTGCCTGTGTAATGTATTCTCTGTGTGTTCTGTCTCCCTGGAGTGACGGTGAGTGATAGGAATTGGCATAGGCCCAGGTGCAGTCCAGGATTTGTTTAGAGTCTTCTCTGGGAAGACTGCACTGGGATTGATACACAGCGAATGTGCTTTAGGATTTCTACATCCACAGCATTCTTGAGTCAAACAAATTGCATTCACCAAGGAAAGGAAACAAAGGTGACATCACGATTAAAAATAGCGAAGCAAGATTCTCTTATGTCAAACGGCCAGGAAATAGTGTTGAAGCCCGTGTGAAATGTGCTGCTCTTTGTGATCTCGGGAGACACATGTTAGGCTGCTGTTCTACCCGAGAGGCTGGGGGAAGGACCACCCCCTCGACCATCTATTGCTTCAATACCACCTGTCCTCCTGTGAATTAGTAGGAAAGGGGAGCAGGAGCTAGTGCTGTCGCTGATCTCTGATTCCAAGATCTGGACTCACTCCAAGGAGTATTAATGTTTCCTCCCCATGGTCTATCTGAATCTCCACAGGTGATTGGAAGTAGGGGTGAGGTGGGGGATTTGGGTGAGTGGGCAAGTTTTTTTTTGCGATGACCAGAGCACTTTCTCTATTCCAGGATCCGTGCTGGAGGATTCAGCGGGCTTTCACATTTTCTATGTGATCTCATGCTCACAGAAAGCCAAATAGGGAAGAGGTTTTAGGCTCATTGCCTAATGGATAAGATAAAGGATCAAAGAAGTAATTATAGAGAAATAGAAAAATGATGATTGGAATTCAGGTGCCTTTGTCATTCGTGTGTGTTTTATTATATTTATGCATTTCTTATTTTTATTTTTTGAGACGGAGTCTCCTTGTGTCACCCAGGCTGGAGTGCAGTGATGCAATCTCCACTCACTGCAACCTCCACCTCCTGGGTTGAAGTCATTCTCCTGCTTCATCCTCCAGAGTAGGAGCTGGGATTACAGGGATGCACCACCATGCTCGGCTAATTTTTGTATTTTTAGTACAGATAGGGTTTCACCATGTTGGCCAGGCTGGTCTGGAACTCCTGACTTCATGGAATCCACCCGCCTTGGCCTCCTGCAGTGCTGGGTTACAAGCGTGAGCCACCGTTCACAACTTGTATATTATGCTATAATAGGTCTCTTCATTTCCACCACCCCTCATATATCTGTCACTCCTTTGCCAGGTATTGATTTATGTGTAGGATGAATAAATCTCAGAAAGAAATTAATTAAGCGAGGATTAAACAAGTAGGAAAATCAAACCCAGCAAGCCTTTCCAGCCAATGATTCTACCTCACAAGCATATCTTATATCCATCTACTTCATTCATTTAGTGTCTAAATCAGCACCACATTTCACCAGTGGGGCGGCAATTGCCTTTTCCACGGTCTCCTAGATTCCAGTTATGCAACTGAGCCTCCCTTATTTTCATGTCCGTCATATTAATCATGTAGGGATTCCTGGTTACCTCGAGGTGAGTCCAATGGCTGTGAGTGTCAAACACACACTCCTTGTTGCTCCTTAGTTTCCTGTGTACCCAGTGTGCTCTCCGTCTCCCTACAGTCATCTTGTCATTCTCCCCACATCATTCCCAGCATTTGAGGCAGAGCCTCTTCCTTCCACATCAGATTGTTTTCAGCTTTCTGCCTTCACGGCTGACAGCTGTGTGTGCAAAATCCTTCCGCCAATCTTTCAGGGGTTCAATCCGTGTTTTTCATTAATGTCACAAATATCTGAATAGTGAGACCTTCTCTGTCACCCAAAATTATACACTCAGCATTATCTATTATTGATTTTGAATTCTGGCTGGGCACAGTGGCTCACGTCTTTTATCCCAGTACTTTGGGATGCTGAGATGGTCGGATCACTTGAGGTTGGGAGTTTCAGACAAGCTTGGCCAACATGGTGAAACATCCTCTCTACAAAAAATATACAAAAAGAATTAGCCGGGCATGGTGGCAGTTGCCTGTAATCCCAGCTACTCAAGAGGGTGAGGCAGGAGAATCACTTGGATCCAGGAGACGCAGGTTGCAGTGAGCCAAGATCGTGACACTGCACTGTAGCCTGGAAGACAGAGGGAGACTCTGTCTCAATAAACAAACGAACAAACAAACAAATAGATTTCATGCACAGATGCTTCCCAATGGATCATTCATTTATTGGTCCACTTGTGCATTCATTTTCTGTCCTCCCATTTAACCATCTGCAATATCAGTGTCCCAAGAGCAGAGGCCAAATGCATCTTGTTCACCATTTGTGGAAGGCAGGAGAATGCTGTCCCACCCCAAAATGTCCCTGTCCTAGCCTCCATAGCTTGTGAATATGTTATTTTACATGGAAAGGAGGAATGAAGATTGCAGATGGAATTACGGTTGCTAATCAGCTGAACTTAAAACAAGGGTATCCTGAATGATTTCCGGGAGATTATGACAGATTTTCATCTTGGTGAACCCAATAGAATCCCCAAGTTTTCAAAAGATGAGGAAGAAGGGAGAGCAGCATTCAGAGAAAGAGGTGTGGTAAGGAAGAAGGGTCTGAGTGATGCCATGTGAGATGTGACCAGTCTTTGTGGGTTTTGAGGAAGGAGGAAGGGGACCAGCAGCCAAAGAACTGGGAGCCTTTATAAGATGGGACAAGTGAGAAGCAGATTCTTGCCTGGAATCCTCAGAGGGAAGGCAGGCTTGCTGTCATCTTGATTTTAGCCCAGTGAGATGCACTTCATGCTTTGAGCTAGAGCACTGTAAGATAATTAAATAACCGTTTTGTTTTCACCCACGAATCTTGTGGAAATTTGTTATGGCAACAATAGGAAAAGCTTCCACACTGCACAACCTGAGCATGGGGCCGTGGCTGAATAAGTCAGTGAGTCGAAGTGTGCGTGCATGAGCTCTGTTCTCTGTTACGGCAAGGCTCTTGCTCTGCTGAGTCAGCCAGGGTTGTTTCATGACCAACAGGAGCTCATTCCTTGGCAAGTGGAACTTCTCTAAAACACCTCGCCCTCATCAGATGTTCCCTTCCCTTCCCTCTCTCAAGCCCCCAGGAATTTATCCTCCAGTTAGGAATGCAAGCAGAACAAACATTGCATTTTTCCTGAGAAGGATGTCAGATTGGCAATCATTCTTCTAGCTTGTAGGAGGTCTCAGCTCCATAAAATGAGAGATGAAGAGATTTCACTGAGCCCTGTGTTGGGCCCAGATCCCTTTCGCTGTTGGAGTATCTGGAGTTCGGAGATGGTAGAAGACAGGCGTACAATGTCAGAGCTGTGAGATGCTGAGTCAACGCCTGAATCCAAGGTTTCCACCTCCCCAGGGTTCCAAAAGCAGATATAAGAGGGTCCTGTACTCACCGGTTTTGGAGCTTGGTTCAGTGGGTGAAGGCCAACTATTTGAAGGGTTTCCTAGAACATGAGACAGGAGAGAGGTGAGGAAATGCGGGTGTCTGTCCTCTACTCAATGGAAATCTTTGAGGATGGTTCATGGCCAACACTCTGTTATCTAACATTGGGCCCTGGGAGTCCAGGGATCCTTTCTTCCATAATTTTTGTATGTGACGCCCACTGTCTTGAGACTTCAAGGTATAAAGAGAAAACAGGAGCATCACACTACCTGATCTCAAAATATGTTACAGAGCTGTAGTAAGCAAAACAGCATGATGTTGGCATGAAGAAAGGCACATAGAACAACGGAGCAGAATGAAGAACACAGATATAATCCATGCATTTACATCCAATTTTTTTTATTTTTTCTTTTGAGATGGAGTCTCGCTCTGTCACCCAGGCTGGAGTGCAGAGGTGCAATCTCGGTTCACTGCAACCTCAGCCTCCTGGGTTCAATCAATTCTCTTGCCTCAAACTCCTGAGTAGTAGTATTACAGGTGCTGACCACCATGCTCAGCTAATTTTTATATTTTTAGTGGAGACGATGTTTCATCACGTCGGCCAGAGTAATCTTGTACTCCTGTCCTCAGGTGATCCACCAGCCTTGGCCTCCCAAAGTGCTGAAGTTGCTGGTGTTAGCCACCATGCCCAGCCCATCCAATGGACTTTGACAAAGGTGCCAAGAACTCACAATCAGGAAAGGACAGTTTTTTCAATAAACAGTGCAGGGAAACCTGGACATCTACATGCAGAGGAATGAAACTGCACCTCTACCTGTCACCATACACAAAAATCAAATGAAAGTGGATTAAAGATGTAAGTCTAAGGCCTGAACCTGTGAAACACGTAGAAGAAAATATTGGGGAAATGCTCCAGGACATTTGTCTGAAGGAAGACATTTTGTTTTAAACCTTCAAAACACAAGTAATTGAAGCAAAAATAGACCATTGGGATTACCTCAAACTAAGCAACTTCTGCACCGCTAAAAATAAACCAACAAAGTGAAGAGACAACCCACAGATTGGGAGCAAATATGTGCAAACTATGCTTCTGAGACGGGATTAATAACTAGAAGTATAAGAAGCTCAAACAACTCAATAAAACAAATGATTTAATTGAAAAAGGAGCAAAAGACATGAAATTTCCCCACATACGAAAAAGTGCTCAGTATCACTCATCATCAGAGAAACGCGAATTAAAATCAAAGTGAGTTTTCATCTCACCCCATTAAAATGGCTTTTAGGCCGGGCGAGGTGGCTCATGTCTGTCATCCTAGAACTCTGAGAGCCCGAGGTGGGCGAATCTCATAAGGTCGGGAGTTTGAGACCAGTCTGACCCACATGGAGAAACACTGTCTCTACTAAAAATACAAAAATTAGTCGGGCGTGGTGGCGTGTGCCTGTAATTCCAGCTACTCGGGAGGCTGAGGCAGGAGAATCGCTTGAACCTGGGAGGTGGAGGTTGCGGTGAGCCGAGATCGCACCACTGCACTCCAGCCTGGGTGACAAGAGCGAAACTCCATCTCAAAATAAAATGAAATAAAATAAAATGGCTTTTAGCTGCAAGACAGGCAAAACAAATGCTGGCAAGGTGGTAGAGAAAGGAGAACCCTGGTACCCTGTTGGTAGGAGTGTAAATTAGTACAGCCATTACGGAGAAAAGTATGGAAGTCCTTTAAAGAACTAAAAAGAGGTTGGATGAAGTGGATCATGCCTGTAATCCCGGCACTTTGGGAGACCGAGGCGGGCACCTCAGTTGAGGTCATGAGTTTGAGAGCAGCCTAGCCAACCTGGGGAAACCCCATGTACACTAAAAAAAACCAAAAAGTATCCCGGCATGGTGGCGTGCACCTGTAATCCCAGCTACTAGGGAGGCTGAGGCAGGAAAATCATTTGAACCCAGGAGGCGGAGGTTGCAATGAGCCAAGATCACATCACTTGTACTCCAGCCTGGGCACAGAGGGAAACTGTCTCAAAAACAAAAACAAAACAACAAACGAAAAACTAAAAAGAGAACTTTCATAGTATCCAGCAATTTCACTACTGGGTTTATATCCAAAGGAAAGTAAATCAATGTATCGAAGTGATATCTGCACTCGTATGATTGGTGCAGCACTCTTCACAGTAGCCAAGATGTGGAGTCAACCTACCTGCCCATCAGTGGATGAATGGATAGAGAGAATGTAGTACATACGCACAGCGGAGACTACTCATCCATAGAAAGAATAACATCCTGATATTTGCAGCCACATGGATGGAACTGGAAGTCATTACAAATATTCTCATTTCTCACCCATATACAGGAGCTAAAAGGTGGATCTCATGAAGATAGAGAGTAGAATGGTGGCTACCAGAGGCCAGGAAGAAAAGGGTGGAGGATAAAACAAACAAACAAAAAATTTATATGTATGTATTTATGACCACTAGACCTTACACTTAAAATTGGTAAACGTGGCCGGGCGCGGTGGCTCATGCCTGTAATCCCAGCACTTTGGGAGCCTGTGGCGGGTGGATCACGTGGTCAGGAGTTCCAGAGCAGCTCGACCAACATGGTGAAACCCCCTCTCTACTAAAAATACAAAAAGTAGCCTGGCGTGGTGATGGGCGCCTGTAGTACCAGCTACTCAGGTGGCTGAGGCAGGAGAATCGCTTGAACCCAGGAGGCGGAGGTTACAGTGAGCTGAGATTGTGCCACTGCATTCCAGCATAGGAGACAGAGCTAGACTCCACCTCAAAAAAAAAAAATGTTAAAAGTGGTAAGCTATATAGGTATATTTAACCTCAATAAATATTTTTTCAAACAAAAAGAAAAGGATGTAGGGGTTGCTGGTGATGACATCTCTGTGTGGGTGAGAGGCCAGGAAGGGCTTCTGGGAAATGGGTAAGGTTGAGGGGCTGAGGGAACCTCTGATCTCCCCAAACTGAGCCCAGTCTCCCCTTCTCTGGGTCTCTCCTGACCGCTTTCTACATCTGCCTGGGTGCCTGGAGCCCTAATCGGAGGCCTCCATGCAGGCCATGCAGGAGGGTTTGGAGGTGCTGTGTGTGCCATCCTGCACCCTGATCCCTCCCTCACAGGCATGCTGCGTCTTCTCTCTGCATCTGTCCATGCTTCTCTCCATCATCAGCAGGAAGCTCCTCAGCTAAGGCTCTAGGATCATAGGACATGGGACAGATATGGGGTTTCCTCACCTGTGACGGAAACAAGCAGTGGATCACTCGAGTTTGACCACTCGTAGGGAGCGTCACGGAAAGAGCCGAAGCATCTGTAGGTCCCTCCGTGGGTGGCAGGGCCCAGAGGAAAGTCGGCCTGGAATGTTCCGTGGATGCTGCGCACTGCAGGGAGCCTACGTTCATGGGCCTCCCCCTCCCTGGATAGATGGAGCTGCAGGACAAGGACACATTCTCTCCTGCCTGAACCGTGGGGCCCGGCTGGGCTGAGAGAGAAGGTTTCTCATATAGACCTGGAAGGAGAAGGGGCAGTTTCCTCAGGGGGGATCTTCCTTGTCACAGCTCCCCTCACACCTGACCTGAGAACTCACTCCCCTGCTCTATGGCCTAATGCTCTCTTTCTCTGTCTCACCCTCCACCCCATCTCTCTTCATGTCTATTTCCTCCTTCCACCTTCTCTGTGTCTGTAGGTCTCTGACCTCACTTCCCTACCTCTAGTTATGTTTTCCGTTTTTGGATTGTTTTATTCTCTCTGGCTCTCCTTGGATTGGTTGACTTGATGTTACTTTTTTTAACTCTGAGTTTCTCAGTTTGTGTCCCGTTCATAACTTTCTGCATATTTCTATCTATTATCTATCAATCCATCTATTTATCTATTCGGTGCCTATCTACAAATTCTCTACCTGTCATCTATATCTATATATCATCTATGTATCTATCAATTGTCTATCCGTCAATCATCTATTATCTATATATATGTATCATCTCTCTCTCTCTATTATTTCTCTCTTTGTCTTCCTCTCTATCTCTATGTATTATCTATCCATCTATCTTCATCATCATCATCTCTATGTATCATCTATTAATGAATCAATCAATCATCATCTATGTATCTATAACCTATTATCTATCATCTACCTATATATCATCTATCTATATCTATCCATCATCTATCTGTATCTATCCATCTATCATCTGTCTTGCTCTGCCTCTCGGTCTCTCTAGTTCTCTTTGGAATCTCTGCAATTCATCCCCACATCTCCATCTTTCTATGCCCTTGTGCCTCACCCTCAGGACTCTAATTTTAGTGGTTTTCTCTGCTCTCTTCCATCATTCTCTCCACTTCTCTGCCCTCTTCTCTCTCTTTATGTGTCTGTGAGTCTCTCAATCTCCTTCCTCTGGCTCTTTCTCTGTGTGTTTATGTCTTTGCTTTTTGGTGTCCCTGATTTCTCTCTGTGCTTCTCAGTGATCCTCTCATATGTGATATGTGGGGTTATTTGGAATGTGAGCCTCAGAATCCAGTCTGGAGACCACAAGTTCACACAGCATACAGGGGTTGGTGTTCTGGGGCCATGATATTTTGGGACGATTATTCTCCATTGCATGGAAGTCAGAGGTGTCAGAATAAGCATGGCATCTGTAGGTGCCACAAGGCCTGAGGCCACAGGGCCCAACTCAGGTCAGAAATATGGGTGTCCTTGGGTTCTCCTGGTAGAGAACACTTTGTGGAGGTAAAACAGAAATGAAACTTCTAACCTGTGCCAGGTCTCTGAGCAAAGTCAGCATGGAAGGACACCTCTGTCTGGGACATGTCTGTCTGTCTCCTTTAACTCTTTCTGTCTTTTCTAACTCCCTGTATGGCCCCTGTGTTTGTCCTCTGTTATGACACCTGGTCTGTACTTGTGTCTCTTGTTTCTCTGTCTCTGTTGGCACAGACCTCACCAAGTCAGTCTCTCTCCATAAGAATACCAAGCTCATCTTCCTTACAACCACCTGGGTCTCCAAGTCCTGGATCATTCACTCTGCATCCCAATGACAATGAGAAGAAAGTCTGGACACTCTCACCTATGATCACCATGTCCAGAGGGTCACTGGGAGCTGACAACTGATAGGGGGAGTGAGGAACAGAACTGTAGCATCTGTAGGTTCCTGCAAGGACAGGCATCATGGGACCAATGGAGAAGTTGGCCTTGGAAACCCCATCATGGTGCTCTCCAATGAGGTGCAAAGTGTTGTTAAACTTCCCCTCTCTGTGCAGAAGGAAGTGCTCAAACATGACATCCGACCAACATTGCAGGATGACTGTCTCTTCTGATTTCACCAGGTGACCTGGGAGGGCCAGGAAGGAAGGTTTTCTGTGGACTCCTAGGAAGAGAGGTTGTGAGTTTAGAAGGTGTCTCTCTTTATCATCCCATCCATGGCACCTGGAATGAGTGAGCCTTCCCTTCGCTGGTGTCTGTCTCTCTGCTTCCTCTCTGTGTCTTCATGTTCTTTTCTGTGCCCATAACTCCTGGTGCAGGTCCTTCCATCTGTCTCCCTCCCTCTTCTCTGTCTCTCTGTCTCTAGTAGCTGTGGTTCCCTTCCCACTGGGCTCAGCCTCATCTCTTGGGCTGTTGTATCTATTTCACACTAATGTCTTTCTTACTGTCTATGTGGGAGTGGAAGAGGAAGCAGGATAGGCTGCACGTCCCGGCTCTTAGCAGCCTGGTTCAATCTCTTTTGGACGAATTGGAATCCTTGGCAGGAGGTATGAACTGATCAGTAAGGCAGGCACCAGTGTCCACACACCCTGTTCCTGGTGGGGACTGGGAGCCACTCTTGCCATGCCTGTGCCTTCTCCATGGTGCCAGTTTCCATAGGCTGGCTCCTCGTGCTGATTTGAGGAGTATCAACCCCTCCCTATGTGGATGGAGCCTGGTGGTGGCATCATCATCCCACCCTTGCTGATCTCGGTGTAGCCAACCTTCTCTTTGTTTGGTTTCTTTAATTAATTAATTAATTTTGGAGACAGAGTCTCACTCCTTCGCCCAGGCTGGAGTGAAGTGGTGTGGTCTACGCTCACTGCAACCTCTGTCTCCTGGGTTCAAGCGATTCTCCTGCTCTCAGCCTCCCGAGTCGCTAGGATTACATGCACCTGCCACCATGCCTGGCTATCCTTGTGTCTTTTCTTAACTTGTCCTTGACCTGGGTTCCAGTGTTGGTTTCCTGTTGCTGCTGTAGAAAATTATCAGAAGCATGGCAGCAGGAGAGAGCACACTGACCCCCTCCGATTCTGGAGACAGAAAGCGGACCCTGTTTTTCGAGGGCTAAAATCAAGGCATCTGCAGGGCTGTGTTCCCTCTGGAGACTCAGGAGAATCAGTTACTTGACTTTCCCAGCCTCTATAGGCCACCTGCATTCATGGCTTATGGCCTTCATCCACCTTCAAAGCTGATGGAGTCTCCCACTACGCTGCTCTAATCCCCACTCTCCTCTTCCTCCTCCTTTCATGTGGACACTTGTGATTATACTGAGCCCACCGGGACAGTCCAGGCTGTCTCCCCATCTCAAGGTCAACTCATCAACAACCTGAGCTCCATCTTCCCCTTCAGTCCCTTCCCCTATAACATAAATAGTCACAGACTCCAGGGATTAGAATGCAGTCATCATTGGGGACACTTATTCTTCCCACCACAGCACCCATTTCCCTGTATTCAATCCCCCTTTACCCCAAATACAGTTAGGGCCTGCGTGATGGGACCCTCAAGGACATGCCTACCAGAAGCTCTGGGATTCAGGAGGTGGGACAAGGAGAATCCCAGACAGGAGCCCTCTGACCTGTGACCATGATCACCAGGGGGTTGCTGGGTGCCGACCACCCACTGGGGGAGTGTGTGTGTGAACCCCGGCATCTATAGGTCCCTGCATGTGAGGGGGTCACAGGGCCCATGAAAAGGCTTTTCCAGAATATTCTGTTGTACAGCTCAGGGACAGGCACCCCATCATCCTTGTACAGACTGAAGTTGTTAAACCCAAGATTAGAGTGACACTGAAGAGTCACATGTTCTGGAGGCACCACAAGGCTGGGCCAGGTAGAAAGCAAGGGCTTGTCCTGACCACCTTGGGGTGAAGGAGGCGCCGCCTTAGAGAGGAGGATGTGGAGCTGTGCCTCCCTCCCTGTGCTCAGAAGATTCTCCCCACTTTCCACATTTCTATGGCTGCTATCACACCTTGGTGCCTAGGGCTAAAGGAAGGACCCATCCCACAAAGACAAGGTGTCTCCGTACAACAAAAGTGTCAGCTGAGAACTTTGAGCAAGTGCTGAGTAAGAGACTCCTACTAGATTTTAATACTGTAAGATTACTGACATAAAACAACACAGGGTAGACATGAAGTGGAGGGCATGTCCTTTGAGAATGGAATATCAGCAGTTGCCTGAATGAGAATAAAAAACTTAGCCCCATCAGAGGATTTGGAATGTCAGGGCCATGGCTGTGGTTTCCCACCTCTTCTGGTAGAATGACAGCAGCCACACTGCAGCCCCTACCGTCATGGAAACGCTGAAGTGTGTGAGTAACACCTTTGTCCTCAGAGGATCTGCTGTTCCTACCACTTCCCCACCACACAACCCAGCTTTGAACACCCTAGTCCAACCCTGGTCCCCACACAACTTGACTCTGCCAAGGGGTTGAGAGGCCAGGGAGGCAAGGTCGGAACTGTGGGCCGAGCACCCCAGGGTCCCTTCTTCCTAGTTTATGAGAGACTCCCTGACAGGACTTCCCTCTCGTTTCAGGAAAATCCTCTTATGTGGGGAGATGACACCCTAAGGTTTGGAGAAGGACTTACCCTCCTGTGGCCAGGCCCCCTGCAGCAAGAAGAACCCTGGAAAGAAAGATCATGATGGAAGATCCATTTGCAGGCAAACAAGGCCTTCCTTGCTGCCCCCACTGGGCTGTGAGTCTTGATAGCCAGCCCCTTCCTGGGCCGAAGGGAAACTCACCATCAGTGCCTACCTGCACCCAAGAACAGTGCTCTCGGCTGTGCAGAGACCCAGCCTCCAGGCCCATATCCCCACCCCAAGCCCATATCTCCACTCCAGGCCCATATCTCCACTCCAGGCCGATATTTCCACCCTAGACCCATATAGCCAATCCGGGCCCACATCTCCAATCCAGGCTCAGATCTCCACCCTAGGCCCATATCTCCAATCCAGGCCCATATCTCCACTCCAGGCCCATATCTCCTCTCCAGTCCCATATCTCCACTCCAGGCCCATATCTCCACCCCAGGCCCAGATCTCCACTTCCAGGCCCATAACTACACTCCAGGATCATATCTCCACTCCAAGCCCATATCTCCACATCAGGCCCATATCTCCACTCCAGTCCCATATCTCCACACCCAGGCCCATATCTCCATTCCAGGCCCATATCCCCATCCTAGGCCCATATCTCCACCGTAGGCCCAGATCTCCACTCCAGGCCCATATCTCCACTCCAGGGCCATATCTCCACTCCAGGCCCATATCTACACACCAGGCCCATATCTCCACCCCATGCCCATGTCTCCACTCCAGACCCATATCTCCACCCCACGCCCATATCTCCACTCCAGGCCCATATCTCCAACCCACGCCCATATCTCCACCTCCAGGCACATATCTCCACCCCACGCCCGTATCTCCACTCCAGTCCGATATCTCCACTCCCGGCCCATGTCTCCACCCCATGCCTATATCTCCACTCCAGTCCCATATCTCCACTCCAGGCCCATATCTCCACTCCAGACCCATATCTCCACTCGGCCCATATCTACACTCCAGGCCCATATCACCACCTCCAGGCCCATATCTCCACTCCAGGCCCATATCTCCACCTCCAGGCCCATATCTCCACTCCAGACCCATATCTCCACTCCAGGCCCATATCTCCACTCCAGGCCCATATCTCCACTCCAGGGCCATATCTCCACTCCAGGCTCATATCTCCACTCCAGGCCCATATCTCCACTCCAGGGCCATATCTCCACTCCAGGCTCATATCTCCACTCCAGGCCCATATCTCCACTCCAGGGCCATATCTCCACTCCAGGCCCAGATCTCCACCTCCAGGCCCGTATCTCCACTCTAGTCCCATATCTCCACTCCAGGCCCATATCTCCACCTCCAGGCCCATAACTTCACTCCAGGCCCATAACTCCACTCCAGGCCCATATCTCCACCTCCAGGCCCATATCTCCACTGCAGACCCATATCTCCACTCCAGGCCCATATCTCCACTCCAGGCCCAGATCTCCACTCCAGGCCCAGATCTCCACTCCAGGCCCAGATCTCCACCTCCAGGCCCCTATCTCCACTCTAGTCCCATATCTCCACTCCAGGCCCATATCTCCACCTCAAGGCCCATAACTTCACTCCAGGCCCATAACTCCACTCCAGACCCATATCTCCACCTCCAGGCCCATATCTCCACTGCAGACCCATATCTCCACTCCAGGCCCATATCTCCACTCCAGGACCATATCTCCACTCCAGGCTCATATCTCCACTCCAGGCCCATATCTCCACCTCCAGGCCCATAACTTCACTCCAGGCCCATAACTCCACTCCAGGCCCATATCTCCACTCCAGTCCCATATCTCCACTCCAGTCCCATATCTCCACCCTAGGCTCCTACCTCCCCTCCAGGTTCCTATCTCTCCTCCAGGTTCCTCTCTCCACTCCAGGTTCCTATCCCCACTCCAGGCCCATATCTCCACTCCAGGCCCAGATCTTCACTCCAGGCCCAGATCTCCACTCCAGGCGCAGATCTCCACTTCTAGGCCAATCACTCCATCTCTAGGCCCAGATCTCCACTCCAGGCCCAGATCTCCACTCCAGGCCCATAACTCCACCTCCAGGCCCATATCTCCACCTCTGGGCCCAGATCTCCATCCCCACGCTCCCTCCCTCTATTCCCTTCCAGGACTCACCAACACACGCCATGATGATGACCATGAGCGACATGGTGCTGCCGGTGCAGACAGGCGGCCGCGCCCCAGCTCAGCTCAGCAGCGCACAGGATGTTATTTGGCGCCCTGCCCATGCAGTTTACATGTTGACCACATCATGGGAGGGTGACGTACGCAGGCTTTTTCTACCTTGCATGAGGCCCAGTGGGTGCTCGCTCAAGAGCGGAACATGGCTTCCTGGAAATTGCTCTCACTAGAATTGACACCTCGCGTCCTTCACTATGACCAACTCAAAACACGTCTTAGATCCAACCTCCCAAACATGAGATGCCTAAAATCTGTGCTAACATGAAAGACTTTTCATGAATTTTTATTGTTTTTATCTGAGATTCGAACTCTTCTTCCTGTGTAATATGCAAAATATCTAATAGGTATTATTAGTGTTTTCAGAGTCATTGTGACTAATAAACCATTAGAATTGTTCATGCTTGTATTTCTAGTATTACAGCAGAACCAGTTCAAATGATTTAAATTCCCAGGGAAGGATTATGCAATTATTTACAATCTTAGAATTGTACTTTATCAGCAAAAACCACACATGTAAATTCTGGATTTTTGTAGTTTTATCTATAATTTGTCTCATGACTCAAGATTCCAGAGTCCCAACTTTGGAGTTTGCTCTCTCTCTGTCTCTCTGCCTCCCTCATTTTAAATTTTACAGAAATATCCAGTAACATAATGCTATAGAAAATCAAGTTTCCCCCAGCAGGTCGGGAAGCCGAGGTGGGCGGATCAACTGAGATGAGGAGATTGAGAGCAGCCTGGCCAACACAGTGAAACCGCGTCTCTGCTAAAAATTCAAAAATTAGCCATGCCTGGTGGCAGGCACCTGAAACGCCAGCTACTCAAGAGACTGAGGCACGAGAATCGCCTGAACCTGGGAGGCGGAAGTTGCAGTGAGCTGAGATTGCTCCACTACAGTCCCGCCTGGGCGACAGAGCAAGACTCCGCCTCAAGAAAAAAAAATAGCAAGTAGCCTATAATAACAAATTAGAGGGCTCTGGCTACTAAATTTAAAGGGTTTTATAAGGCTACATGAAGTGCAGCATCCTCAAGAGTGTGGACACAGAGAGCCCCTTAGCAGAAACAGTGTCTAAAATACATCCGTGTACACACAGTCCCTTTAGAGTTGACAAAGGCTGCCGTGTGGTTTAAGGTGGCATAGAATGTCTTCTCAATAAATAATATTAAACCAAAGGGTTACACGTAGGAAAAAATAAATCTAAACTTATTCTCACACTATAAAAACACTTCTTACTTTTTATCTAGTTATTGTACATTTTTTATGATTTATATTTAAAATTGAGAAATAAAAGTCATATACGGTCATCCTTTACTATTCGTGGGTGATTGGTTTCAGGATCTCCACTCAGGTACCAAAATCTGCAGATGCTCAAGCCTCTTACATAAAATGACACAGCATTTGGATATAACCCATGCACATCCTCCTGTATACATGAAATCATCTCTTGATTACTTATAATTCCTGATACAGCCTACACACTGCCTCATTTGTGTCCATTCAACATAGTTTTGCATTTTGAAACTTTGTGGACATTTTCTCTGAATATTTTTGATTTACACTTGGTTCAATAAACACCTGTAAACCCCACAGATATGGAGGAGCGACTGTATATTTATAGTATGAAATATGATGTGTTGATATGTGTCCCCATGGAGATGAGACTAGCAAGGCTTATGACTCTACAAATGTTTCATCGTGGAATGACTCTGCCAGCTTTCCAGGTTGCAGAGAGTAAGAATATCACTTGTTCATGTGATTCACGATCCTTGGAACCTCCTATGTGCTGCATCTTTGGATGGAAATTGGAGTCCCAGAGACAAATGAGGCTCCACCCTGCTTCCAGAAGCTCAGAGTCCAGGGGTGAGAACCTAGCGGAGAACAGATAGGGTTATGTGGACATGGTAATGATAACAGCGGTTTCTTTCAGCGAATACAGTGTCACATTACCTGAAGCAATGAGGGCAGACATGTTTATTTGAAGAGGAGACAGCTACATTGAAATCACAAAAAATTTTATAAGTTTCACTGCTGACAGAAGGCTGGAAAATAGTCCGAAGAAAGGTGAAACAGCATGAGGGAAGGTGGAACAGCACGTGGGTAAGTGCCACGTCAAGAGGGAGCCTCTTGTATGTTTGGAATTGTGAGTTACTCAGTGTGATCGCAGCCTCAAGTAGACTAGGAAGTAAGCCAGTTAGGTTGGAGAGGTGGGCAGGGGTCAAGTGAAATGGAGAACTGTGGGCTAAGCAAAGGAGTGTGTTTTCTTTCCAGCAGGCAGTGGGGACCTAGACATTTGTAAGCAAGAGAGAGGCACCAGATTTGTGGCGTGAGGAGGAGCGATGCCCTAAGATGAAGACTCACGCCTTCAGATTCCAGCTGCTGGTACATGGGAGCTGGCAACTCGGTTTTGAGACAGGGCTGTTGTCTCCCTAGAAGACGCCCTCAAGGCCTGACTGTGGTGCTCATGGGCAGGAGACAACTTTGGATCTGGGCTTAGCATTTGGAAGTTCCGTGTACAAGATGGTATCTGTAGGGGGTGTCTTGGGCCTCTGAGAAGGGCGAGTGATTTTTCTCTGTGTGAAAACGCAGTGATCCAACTGTGCATATGTCACCTCCTGAGGGTCTTGTTCATCAGAGTCCTGGAGAGAGGGAAATGCTGAGTGAGGGAGGGAAATGCTGAGTGAGGGAGGGTGCTCACGTTTTCCAGGACTGTTTGGGAATAACACTAGCCACGAGGCTGGGCCGAGGAGCACCTACCTCGCTGTTGGCTGTTCTGTTCCCTGCAGGCTCTTGGTCCATTACAGCAGCATCTGTAGGAGACGGAAGTCAACAAAAGAGCTCGGAGGGCACTTCTGGGTCCTCATTTCCTAAGCAGATACCAACAAACAGGGGGAGGCCATAGGTGCCTGAGGTCCCTCAGTTGCCAACAGCAGACTCAGACATTCTATCTCTCTGAGCTCAAGGACCCATCCCATGAATAGCTCTGAGTTCCCATCCCATTGATTCTATCTCCCACTTTCTGCCTGTCATGGAACCTTCTCCTGGATGTGAGTGGCTGCGGGGGACATGAGGATACAGTTCAGAATCAGGCAACGGTCTGTGAGCTGAAGGCAGGGGCAGGGAGTCTGGTGCTCTCTCTAGAAAGTCCTGCCTCTGTGGCTGCTGCCTTGGGCCAGGGACCATCCTGCCAGTGAGGAACACACAGCTGTGTGCTCCCATCCTGCTTCCCCACATGGCCCTGAGCTCTCTGGCCTGTGCCGCGTGAGACTTACTTTTTTTGTTGGAGCACCAGAGATGAAGGAGAAAGAAGAGGAGGAGGATGAAGAGGATGATGACCACTGAGGTCCCAATCAGAACGTGCAGGTGTCTGGGGTTACCTGGAAGAAGAGGAGACACCAGTAAGAAGCTAATCATAGCAGATTCTCTATATGAATTGTCTTGCATTTCTTGATTGACAGGTAACCACTTACAGCATCTCTTTCGGACAAGCACCCAGATGGCGGGAGACCTAGCTTCCTCCTGCTTTCTCAGTTATAGCTCTCATAGTAACCATGGAACGTGCTGAGGATACAACTACTTTAGTTGAGATGTTTGACCCCTTCAAACCTCACATTGAAATTTAACCCCCAGTGTGGGAGGTTGGGCCTCTTGGGAGGTGTTTGGGTCATGGAGGTGGATCCATCATGAACAGATCAATGCTGTCCCAAGGAGACGGGGTTAGCAAGTTCCCTCTCTATTAGTTCCTGGAGAGCTGGTTGTTAAAAAGAGCTTGGAAGCTCCATTGCTCCCCCTCCCCCTTGCTCCCTCTCTTGCCGTGTGATCTCTGTGGTCTCTGCACAGACAGACTCTCCTTCCCTTCTGCCAGAGTGGGAGCGGCCTGAGGCCATCATAAGAAATAGATGCTGGTGCCATGCTTCCAGTACAGCCTGCAGAATGTTGAGGCAAACCAATCTCTTCTTTAGAAGTTACCCAGGCTCAAGTGTTCCTTTAGAGCAACAAAAATGGACTAAGACAGCAAAGTCCTGAGATCAGGAGGATCGTCCCAGAACAGCCTGGGCTGTCTTCCTGTTCTTCCTGGAGGAGGACGTCATGCAGTGCTTTAGCTGAGTGCTTCCTGTGGCTCCAGGGTACAAAACCCAGGCTGGGCTGCTTTCTGGCTTCCCCCAGCTACACTGCAAATGGGGTGACTCCACATGTCTCGAGCAGCTTTTCTGAGCCTTGGGGAACTGGCTCACATTGAAATGTAGGCTTCTGTTGTCACTCGCTGCTTATCTGTTAGTAATGAACCTGCCTATGTAACGTATTCTCTGTGTGTTCTGTCTCCCTGGAGTGACGGTGAGTGATAGGAATTGGCATAGGCCCAGGTGCAGTCCAGGAGGTGTTTAGAGTCTTCTCTGGGAAGACTGGACTGGGATTGATACACAGCGAATGTGCTTTAGGATTTCTACATCCACGGCATTCTTGAGTTAAACAACTTGCATTCTCCAAGAAAAGGAAACAAAAGTGAAATCAATATAAAAAAAGCGAAGTAGAATTCTCTTATGTCAAACAGCCAGAAAATAGTGTTGAAGCCCGTGTGAAATGTGCTACTCTTTGTGATCTCGGGAGACACATGTTAGGCTGCTGTTCTACCTGAGAGGCTGGGGGAAGGACCACCCCCTCGACTATCTATTGCTTCAATACCACCTGTCCTCCTGTGAATTAGTAGGAAAGGGGAGCAGGAGCTAGTGCTGGCACAGATCTCTGATTCCAAGATCTGGACTCACTCCAAGGAGTATGAGCATTTACCTCCCCATGATCTATCTGTATCTCCACAGGTGATTGGAAGTAGGGGTGAGGTGGGGGATTTGGGTGAGGGGGCAAGTTTTTTTTGTGATGACCAGAGCACTTTCTCTATTCCAGGATTTGTCCTGGAGGATTCAGCGGGCTTTCACATTTTCTATATGATCTCATGCTCACAGAAAGCCAAATACGGAAGAGGTTTTAGGCTGATTGCCTAATGGATAAGATAAAGGATCAAAGAAGTAATTATAGAGAAATAGAAAAATGATGATGGGAATTCAGGTGCCTTTGTCATTCGTGTGTGTTTTATTACATTTATGCATTTCTTATTTTTATTTTTTGAGATGGAGTCTCCTTGTGTCACCCAGGCTGGAGTGCAGTGATGCGATCTCCACTCACTGCAACCTCCACCTCCTGGGTTGAAGTCATTCTCCTGCTTCATCCTCCAGAGCAGGAGCTGGGATTACAGGGATGCACCACCATGCTCGACTAATTTTTGTATTTTTAGGAGAGATAGGGTTTCACCATGTAGAGATAGGGTTTCACCATGTTGGCCAGGCTGGTCTGGAACTCCTGACTTCTTGGAATCCACTGGCCTTAGCCTCCTGCAGTGCTGGGTTACAGGCGTGAGCCACCGTTCACAGACTTGTATACTATGCTATAATAGGTCCCTTCATTTCCACCACCCCTCATATATCTGTCACTCCTTTGCCAGGTATTGATTTATGTGTAGGAGGAATAAATCTCAGAAAGAAATTAATTTAGCAAGGATTAAACAACTAGGAAACTCAAACCCAGCAAGCCCTCCCTGCAAATGATTCCACCTCACAAGCATAGCTTATATCCATCTGCTTCATCCACTTAGGGTCTAAATCAGCACCACATTTCACCAGTGGGGCGGGAATTGCCTTTTCCACGGTCTCCTAGATTCCAGTTACGCCCCTGGGCCTCCCTTATTTTCATGTCAGTCATATTAATCATGTAGGGATTCCTGGCTACCCCGAGGTGAATCCAATGGCTGTGAGTGTCAAACACACACTCCTTGTTGCTCCTTAGTTTCCTGTGTACCCAGTGTGCTCTCCGTCTCCCTACAGTCATCTTGTCATTCTCCCCACCTCATTCCCAGCATTTCAGGCAGAGCCTCTTCCTTCCACATCAGATTGTTTTCAGCTTTCTGCCTTCACGGCTGACAGCTGTGTGTGCAAAATCCTTCCGCCAATCTTTCAGGGGTTCAATCCGTGTTTTTCATTAATGTCACAAATATCTGATTAGTGAGACCTTCTCTGTCACCCAAAATTATACACTCAGCATTATCTATTATTTATTTTGAATTCTGGCTGGGCAAAGTGGCTCACGCCTGTAATCCCAGTACTTTGGGTTGCTGAGATGGTCGGATCACTTGAGGTTGGGAGTTTCAGACAAGCTTGGCCAACATGGTGAAACATCCTCTCTACAAAAAATATACAAAAAAATTAGCTGGGCATGGTGGCAGTTGCCTGTAATCCCAGCTACTCGAGAGGGTGAGGCAGGAGAATCACTTGGATCCAGGAGACGCAGGTTGCAGTGAGCCAAGATCGTGACACTGCACTGTAGCCTGGAAGACAGAGGGAGACTCTGTCTCAATAAATAAATGAACGAACAAACAAATAGATTTCATGCACAGATGCTTCCCAATGGATCATTCATTTATTGGTCCACTTGTGCATTCATTTTCTGCCCTCCCATTTAACCATCTGCAATATCAGTGTCCCAAGAGCAGAGGCCAAATGCATCTTGTTCACCGTTCGTGGAAGGCAGGAGAATGCTGTCCCACCCCAAAATGTCCCTGTCCTGGCCTCCATAGCTTGTGAATATCTTATTTTACATGGAAAGAAGGAATGAAGATTGCAGATGGAATTACGGTTGCTAGTCAGCTGAACTTAAAACAAGGGTATCCTGAATGATTTCCGGGAGATTATGATGGATTTTCATCTTGGTGAACCCAATAGAATCCCCAAGTTTTCAAAAGATAAGGAAGAAGGGAGAGCAGCATTCAGAGAAAGAGGTGTGGTAAGGAAGAAGGGTCTGAGTGATGCCATGTGAGATGTGACCAGTCTTTGTGGGCTTTGAGGAAGGAGGAAGGGGACCAGGAGCCAAGGAACTGGGAGCCTTTAGAAGCTGGGACAAGTGAGAAGCAGATTCTTGCCTGGAATCCTCAGGCAAGGGAAGACAGCCTTGCTGTCACCTTGTTTTTAGCCCAGTGAGATGCACTTCATACTTTGAGCTACAGCACTGTAAGATAATTAAAAAGCCGCTTTGTTTTCACCCACGAATCTTGTGGAAATTTGTTATGGCAACAATAGGAAAGGATTCCAACTGCACAGCCTGAGCATGGGGCCGTGGCTGAATAAGTCAGTGAGTCGAAGTGTGCGTGCATGAGCTCTGTTCTCTATTACGGCAAGGCTCTTGCTCTGCTGAGTCAGCCAGGGTTGCTTCATGACCAACAGTAATTCATTCCTTGGCAAGTGGAACTTCTCTAAAACACCTCGCCCTCATCAGATGTTCCCTTCCCTTCCCTCTCTCAAGTCCCCAGGAATTTATCCTCCAGTTAGGAATGCAGGAAGAAAAAACACTGCATGTTTCCTGAGAAGGATGTCAGATTGGCAATCATTCTTCTAGCTTGTAGGAGGTCTCACCTGCAGGACATTAAAGGTTAAGAGACTTCGCTGAGCCCTTTGGTGGCCCTAGATCCCTTTCACTGTTGGAGTGTCTGGAGTTCAGAGATGGTGGAAGACAGGCCCTCATTCAAAGAGCTGGGAGGTTTGAGCCAACACTTGCATCCAAGGCTTCCACCTCCCCAGGTTTCCAAAAGCAGAGATAAGAGGGGTCCTTTACTCACCAGATTTGGAGCTTGGTTCTGTGGGTGAAGGCCAACTACTTGAAGGGTTTCCTAGAACATGGGACAGGAGAGATGTGAGGAAATGAGGGTGCTTGTCCTCTACTCAATGGAAATCTTTGAGGTTGGTTCATGGCCAACACTCTGTTATCTAATGTTGGACCCTGGGAGTCTTGGGATCCTCTTCTCCATAATTTTTGTGTGCGATGCCCACTGTCTTGAGACTTGAAGGTATAAAGAGAAAACAGGAGCATCACACTACCTGACTTAGAAATATGTTACAGAGCTGTAGTAAGCAAAACAGCATGACATTGGCATAAAGAAAGGCACATAAAAAATGAAACAGAATGGAGAACACAGATATAATCCATGCATTTACATCCAATGGCTTTTTGTGTGTGTGTGTGTGATAGAATCTTGCTCTGTCATGCAGGCTGGAGTGCAGAGGTGCAATCTCAGCTCAATGCAACCTCCACTTCCTGGATTCAAGCAATTCTCTTGCCTCAAACACCCGAGTAGTGGTATTACAGGCACTGGTCACCATGCTCAGCTAATTTTTGTATTTTTAGTAGAGACGAGGTTTCACTCTGTTGGCCAGCCTGGTCTTGAACTCCTGGCTTCAGGTGATCCACCCGCCTCGGCCTCCCAAAGTGCTGGAATTGCAGGTGTGAGCCACCATACCCAGCCCATTTAATGGACTTTGACAAAGGTGCCGAGAACTTACAATCAGGAAAGGACAGTCTTTTCAATAAATGGTGTGGGGAAAACTGGATATCTACATGCAGAGGAATAAAACTGCATCTATACCTGTCACCATACACAAAAATCAAATGAAAATGGATTAAAAACATGAGTCTAAGGCCTGAACCTATGAAACATGTAGAAGAAAATAATGGGGAAGACATTTGTCTGACGAAAGACATTTTGTTTAAAACCTTCAAAACACAAGTAATCAAAGCAAAAAATAGACCATTAGGATTACATCAAACCAAGCAACTTCTGCACCACAAAAGATAAACCAACAAAGTGAAGAGACAACCCACAAAATAGGAGCAAATATTTGCAAACTATTCATCTGAGACGGGATTAATAACTGGAAATATAAGAAGCTCAAACAACTCAATAAAACAATTTAATTAAAAAACGAGCAAAAGACATGAGGAGACATTTCTCCACAAACAAAACATAGAAATGGCGATCACGTATATGAAAAAGTACTCGGCATCACTCATCATCAGAGAAATGTAAATTACAATCGCGATGAGTTTTCATCTCATCCCATTAAAATGCCTTTTAGGCCGGTGGCTCACGCCTGTAATTCCGGCACTTCAGGAGGCGGAGGTGGGCGGATCACCTGAGGTCGGGAGACCAGCCTGACCATCATGGAGAAACTCCCTCTCTACTAAACATACAAAAATTAGCTAGGCGTGGTGGCACATGCCTGTAATCCCAGCTACTTTGGAGGCTGAGGCAGGAGAATCAGTTGAACGCGGGAGGCGGAGGTTGCAGTGAGCTGAGATCACACCCTTGCACTCCAGCCTGGGAGACTATGAGTGAAACTCCATCTCAACATAAATAAATAAATAAAATAAAGTAAAGTAAAATGGCTTTTACTGCAAGACAGGCAAAACAAATGCTGGCAAGATGGTAGAGAAAGGAGAACCCTGGTACCCTGTTGGTAGGAATGTAAATTAGTACAACTATTATGGAGAAAAGTATGGAAAATCTTTAAAAAACTAAAAGGAGGCTGGGCATAGTGGCTTATGCCTGTAACTTCAGCACTTTGGGAAACCGAGGCAGGCACCTCACTTGAGGTCAGGAGTTTGAGAGCAGCCTGCCCAAAATTGGGATATCCCGTCTGTGCTAAAAAAATACAAAAATTAGCCAGGCATGGTGGCGTGCACCTGTAATCACAGCTACTAGGGAGGCTGAGTCAGGACAATCATTTGAACCTAGGAGGCACAGGTTGCAATGAGCCAAGATCTCACCACTTAGACTCCAGCTTGGACTAAGGAGGGAAACTCTTTCTCAAAAAAGAAAAAAAAAAAAAGAGAACTTTCATAGTGTCCAGCAATTTCACTACTGGGTTTATATCCAAAGGAAAGGACATCAGTGTATCGAAGTGATATCTGCACTCATATGACTGTTCCAGCACTGTTCACAGTAGCCAAGATGTGGAGTCAACCTACCTGCCCATCAGTGGGTGAATGGATAGAGAACTGTGGTACACACACACAGTGGAGACTACTCATCCATAGAAACAATAACATCCTGTCATTTGCAGCCACATGGATGGAACTGGAGGTCATTACAAAGATTCCCATTTCTCACCCACATGCAGGAGATAAAAGGTGGATCTCATGAAGGTGGAGAATACAATGGTGGACACCAGAGGCCAGGAAGGGAAGGGTGGAGGGTAACAAAAAAAAGAATATAGATGTATTTATTTATTTAGAAACAGAGTCTCTCTCTGTCTCCCAGGCTGCAGTGCAGTGGCATGATCTCGGCTCAGTGCAACCTCTGCCTCCTGGCTTTAAGTGCTTCTCCTGCCTCAGCCTCCCAAGTAGCTAGGACTACAGGTGCATGCCAGCATGCTCGGCTAATTTTTCTTGTCTGTTTAGTAAAGATGAATTTCCCACATGTTGGCCAGGGTGATCTCGAGTTCCTGATCTTAAATGATCCACCTTCCTTGGCCTCTCAAAGCGCGGAGATTACAACCGTGAACCACCACACCCAGCATATAAAGGTATTTATGACCACTAGATTTTACTTTTAAAAATGGTAAAGGTGGTAAATTATATAGTTACATTTAACCTCAATAAATATTTTTGAAAATGAAAAGAAAAGGGTGTAGGGGTTGCTGGTGATGATATCTCTCTGTGTGGGTGAGAGGCCATGATGGGCTTCTGGGAAATGGATAAGATTGAGGGGCTGAGGGAACCTCTGATCTCCCCAAACTAAGCCCAGTCTCCCCTTCTCTGGGTCTGTCCTGACCGCTTTCTCCATCTGCCTGGGTGCCTGGAGCCCTGATCGGAGGCCTCCATGCAGGCCATGAAGGAGGGTTTGGAGGTGCCCTGTCTGCCATCCTGCGCCCTGACTCCGCCCTCACACCTGCTGTGTCTTCTCTCTGCATCTGTCCATGCTTTTCTCCATCATCAGCAGGAAGCTCCTTAGCTAAGGATTTAGGATCATAGGACATGAGAGAGATATGGGCTTTTCTCACCTGTGACAGAAACAAGCAGTGGGTCACTCGGGTCTGACCACTCGTAGGGAGAGTGACGGAAAGAGCCGAAGCATCTGTAGGTCCCTCCGTGGGTGGCAGGGCCCAGAGGGAAATCTGCCTGGAATGTTCTGTTGACCTTGCGCACTGCAGGGAGCCTACGTTCATGGGCTCCCCCCTCCCTGGATAGATGGTACATGTCATAGGAGCTCCGGGAGCTACAGGACAAGGTCACGCTCTCTCCTGCCTGAACCTTGGGGCCCGGCTGGGCTGAGAGAGAAGGTTTCTCATATGGACCTGGAAGGAGAAGAGGCAGTTTCCTCAGGGAGGTTCTTCCTTGTCATAGCTCCCCTCATACCTGAGCTGAGAACTCACTCCCCTGCTCTATGACCTAATGCTCTCTCTCTCTCTCTCACCCTCCACCCCATCTCTCTTCATATCTGTTTCCTCCTTCTACCTTTTCTGTCTCTCTAGGTCTATGACCTCACTTCCCCACCCTGAGGTATGTTTTCCCTTTTTGGATTGTTTTATTCTCTCTGACCCTCCTTGGATTGGTTGACTTGATCTTCCTTTTTCTTTAATTTTGAGTCTCTCACTTTCTGCCTTGTTCATAACTTTCTGCACATTTCTATCTATTTATCTATTTTGTGTCTATCTACAAATTATCTATCATCTATATTTATGTATCACTTATCTATCTCTCTATCAATTGTCTGTCTGTCTATCTATCCATCAATCATCTATTATCTATATATGTATCATCTATCTCTCTCTCTATTACCTCTCTGTCTGCCTCTCTGTCTCTATTTATGTATCATCTATGTATATATCTATGTGTCTATCATCATCATCGTCATCTCTATGTATCATCTATCAGTCATCATCTATGTATCTATAACCAATCCATTATCTATCATCTACCTATTTATCATCTATCTACGTCTATCTATCCATCTATCATCTCTCTCTCTCCGTCTCCTTGTCTTTCTCTGCCTCTCAGTCTCTCTAGTTCTATTTGGAATCTCTGCAATCCATCCCCACATATTTATCTTTCTCTGTCTTTGTGTCCCTCCCTCAGGGTTCTGATTTTGGGGCTTTTCTCTCCTCCTTTCCATCATTCTCTCCACTCTGCCCTCTTTTCTTTCTTTTTATGTGTCTGTGAATCTCTTAATCTCCTTCTTCTGGCTCATTTTGTGTGTGTTTATGTCTTTGCTTTTTGGTGTCCCTGATTTTTCTCTGTGTCTCTCAGCGATCCTATCATATGTGGGATTATTTGGAATATGAGCCTCAGAATCCAGTCTGGGGACCCCAAGTTCACACAGCATACAGGGGTTGGTGTTCAGGGGCCATGATATCCTGGGATGATTACTCTCCATTGCATGGAAGGCAGAGGTGTCAGAATAAACACGGCATCTGTAGGTGGCACAAGGCCTGAGGCCACAGGGCCCAACTCAGGTCAGAAATATGGGTGTCCTTGGGTTCTTCTGGTAGGAACACTTTGTGGAGGTAAAACAGAAATGAAACTTCTAACCTGTGCCAGGTCTCTGAGCAAAGTCAGCATGGAAGGACACCTCTCTCTGGGACATGTCTGTCTGTCTGAGTGTCTCCTTTACCTCTTTCTCTCTTTTCTACCTCCCTGTATGGCCCCTGTGTCTGTCCTCTGTTATGACACCTGTTCTGTACTTATGTCTCCTGTTTCTCTGTCTCTGTTGGTACAGACCTCACCAAGTCACTCTCTTTCCATAAGAATCCCACACTTATCTTCCTCATGACCACCTGGGGGTTCCAAGTCCTGGATCATTCACTCTGTGTCCCAGTGACAATGAGAACAATGTCTAGACACTCTCACCTGTGACCACGATGTCCAGGGGATCACTGGGAGCTGACAACTGATAGGGGGTGTGAGTAACAGAACCGTAGCATCTGTAGGTCCCTGCAAGGGCAAGCATCATGGGACCGATGGAGAAATTGGCCTTGGAGACCCCATCATGGATCTGTCCAACGAGGCGTGAGGGGTCCTTAGAGATCCCCTCTTTGTGCAGAAAGAAGTGCTCAAACATGATATCTGACCAACATTGCAGGATGACTCTCTCTCCTGATTTCACCAGGGGACCTGGGTGGGCCAGGAGGGAAGGTTTTCTGTGGTTTCCTAGAAAGAGAAGTTGTGAGTTTAGAAGGCATCTCTCTTTATCATCCCATCCATGGCACCTGGAATGAGTGAGGGTTCCCCTCCCCGTGTCTGTCTCTCTCCTCCCTCTCTGCATCTCCGTGTCTTTTCTGTGCCCATATCCCCTGGTGCAGGTGCCTCCATCTGTCTTCCTCCCTCTTCTCTGTCCCTCTGTCTCCAGTAGCCCCTGACTCCCTTGCCACTGTGAAGACAGCCTCATCTCTTGGGCTGTTGTATCTGTTTCCCACTAATCTCTTTCCTGCTGTCTATGTGGGGGTGGAAGAGGACAGGCTGCATGTCCAGGCTCTTAGCAGCCTGAATCAATCTCTTTTGAACAAATCCCCAGTTCAAGTGATTCTCTTGCCTCAGCCTCCCCAGTCGTTGGATTACTCGCGCCCACCACCACATCTGGCTATCCTTGTTTGGTTTCCTAACTTGTCCTTGACCTGGGTTCCTGTGTTGGTTTCCTGTTGCTGCTGCAGAAAATTACCACAAACATGGCAGCGGGAGAGAACACACTGACCCCTTCCACTTCTGGAGACAGAAATTGGATCCAGTTCTCCCTGTGCTGAAATCAAGGTGTCTACAGGGCTGCGTTCCCTCTGGAGAATCAGCGAATCAGTTCTCTTGACTTCTCCAGCCCTTAGAGGCCACCTGCATTCTGTGACTAGTGGTCTTCCTCCACCTTCAAAGCCCGCAGTGGCTGATAGCGTCTCCCTCCCACTACACTGCTCTAATCCCCACTCCCCTCTTCCTCCACCTCTCATGTGGACCCTTGTGATTACACTGAGCCCAGTGGGACAGTCCAGGCTGTCTCCCCATCTCAAGGTCAACTCATCAACAACCTGAGCTCCACCTTCCCCTTCAGTCCCCTGCCCTGTAACATAAATAGTCACAGGCTCCAGGGATTACAATGTAGCCATCATTGGGGACAGTGATTCTTCCCACCACAGCACCCATTTCCCCTGTATTCAATCTCCCTTGACCCCAAATACAGTCAGGGCCTGGGTGATGGGACCCTGACGGACACCCCCACCAGAAGCTCTGGGATTCAGGAGGTGGGACAGTGAGAAGCCCAGACGGAAAGCCTCTGACCTGTGACCATGATCACCACGGGGTTGCTGGGTGCCGACCACCCAGTGGGGGAGTGTGGGTGTGAACCCCGACATGTGTAGTTCCCTGCATGTGCTGTGGTCACAGGGCTCATGTTGAAGCTCTCCTGGAATAATCTGCCATGGAAGATGGGAACGTGGATTCTGTCTTCTTTGTATAGCATGAAATTGTTAAACCTATGACGATAGTGACACCGAAGAGTCACGTGTCCTCCTCGAGGCACCACAGCGCTGGGCCAGGCAGACAGGAAGGGCTTGTCCTGACCACCTGGGGGAGAAGGAGGCACTGCCTTAGAGAGGAGGATGTGGAGCCGCCCCTCACTCCCAGTGCCCAGAAGATTCTCCCCATTTCCACTTTCTAAGGCTCCTACCACACCTGGGTGCCCAGGGCTACAGGAAGGACCCATCCTGCATAGACATGGCGTCTCCCTACAACAAGTGTCAGCTGAGAACTTTGAGCAAGTGCTGGAGAAGCAACTCTTACTAGATTTTAATACTGCAAAATTACTCATATAAAACAACACAAAGTAGACACGGCATGGAGGGCAAGTCCTATGTGAATGGAATATCAGCCAATTGATGAACTGAGCCCCCATCAGAGGATTTGGAATGTCAGGGCCATGGCTGTGGTTTCCTCACCTTTTCTGGTAGAAAGACCACAGCCACACTGCAGCCCCTACCATCACGGAAACGCTGGAGGGTGTGAGTTACACCTTTGTCCTCAGAGGACCTGCTGTTCCTAGCACTGCTTCCCTCTCTTTCTCTGCTGCTGACACCACTTCCTCCCTGCACACCCATCTTGGAGCACCCTAGTCTCACCCCAGTCTTCACAGAGCTTGACTCAGGAAAGGGAAAGAAAGGCCGGGGAGGGCAAGGTCAGAAATGTGGGCCGAGCATCCGAGGGTCCCCTCTTCCTAGTTTATGAGAGACTCCCCGACAGGACTTCCCTCCCATTTCAGGAAAATCCTCTTATGTGGGGAGATGACACCCTAAGGTTTGGGGAAGGACTCACCCACGTGTGGACCGGCCCTCTGGACCAAGAAGAACCCTAGAAAGAAAGATCCTGATGGACCATCCATCTGCAGGCAAACCAGGGCACCCTGCTGCCCCCACTGGGCTGTGCGTCTTGGCAGCCAGGCCCTTGCTGGGCTGAAGGTAAACTCACCCTCGCTGCCTACCTGCCCCCAGGAACAAGGATCTCGGCTGTGCAGAGACTCAGCCTCCAGGCCCAGATCTCTACCTCCAGGCCTAGATCTACACAACAGGCCCAGATCTCCACTCCAGGTCCGTATCTCCACTCCAGACCCATATCTCCTCTCCAGGCTGATAAGTCCACTCCAGGCCCATATCTCCACTCCAGGCTCCTATCTCAACTCCAGGCTCATATATCCACTCCAGGCTCATATCTCCACTCCAGGCCCATATTTCCACTCCAGGCTTCTATCTCCTCTCCAGGCCCATATCTCCTTTCCAGGCTTGTATGTCTGCTCCAGGCCCGTATCTCCACCCCAGGCCCATATCTCCACTCCAGGATCATATCTCCACTCCAGGCCCAGATCTCCACTTCATGCCCTTAACTCCACCTCCGGGCCCATAACTCCACCTCTAGGCCCATATCTCCACTCCAGGCCCATATCTCCACTTCAGGCCCATATCTCTACTGCAGGCCCATAACTCCACCTCCAGGCCCATATCTCCACTCCAGGCCCATCGCTCCACTTCTAGGCCCATCACTCCACCTCTAGGCCCACATCTCCCCTCCAGGCCCATCCATATCTCCCCTCCAGGTCCATATCTCCACCCCAGGCACATATCTCCACCCCAGGCCCATATCTCCACTCCAGGCCCAGATCTCCACTCCAGGCACATATCTCCACCCCAGGCCCCTATCTCCACTCCAGGCCCAGATCTCCACCCCAGGCCCAGATCTCCACTTCAGGCCCATAACTCCACCTCCAGGCCCATAACTCCACCTCTAGGCCCATATCTTTACCTCCAGGTCCAGATCTCCATCCCCGCACTCCCTCCCTCGATTCCCTTCCAGGACTCACCAACACACGCCATGCTGACGACCATGAGCAACATGGTGCTGCCGGTGCAGACAGGCGGCCGCGCCCCAGCTCAGCTCAGCAGCGCACAGGATGTTATTTGGCGCCCTGCCCATGCAGTTTACATGTTGACCACATCATGGGAGGGTGACGTACGCAGGCTCTTTCTACCTTGCATGAGGCCCAGTGGGTGCTCGCTCAAGAGCGGAACATGGCTTCCTGGAAATTGCTCTCACTAGAATTGACACCTCGCGTCCTTCACTATGACCAACTCAAAACACGTCTTAGATCCAACCTCCCGAACACGAGATGCCTAAAATCTGTGCTAACATGAAAGACTTTTCATGTATTTTTATTGCTTTTATCTGAGATTCAAACTCTTCTTCCTGTGTAATATGCAAAATATCTAATAGGTATTATTAAGGTTTTCAGAGCAATTGTGACTAATAAACCATTAGAATTTTTCATGATTGTATTTCTAGTATTACAGCAGAACCAGTTCAAATGATTTAAACTCCCAGGGAAGGATTATGCAATTATTTACAATCTTAGAATTGTACTTTATCAGCAAAAATCACAACATGTAAATTCTGGATTTTTGTAGATTTATCTAGAATTTGTCTCATGTCCCAAGATTCCAGAGTTCCAACTCATGGTTTGCTCTCTCTCTGTCTCTCTGCCTCCCTCATTTTAAATTTTACAGAAATATCCAGTAACATAATGCTATAGAAAATCAATTTCCCCAGCACTTTGGAAGCCGAAGTGAGTGATCAACCGAGGTCAGGAGTTTGAGACCAGCCTGGCCAATATAGTGAAACCATGTCTCTGCTAAAAATACAAAAATTAGCCATGCCTGGTAGCAGGCACTTGTAATGCCAGCTATTCAAGAGGCTGAGGCACGGAATCCCTTGAACCTGGGAGGCGGAAGTTGCAGTGAGCCGAGATCGTGCCACTGCACTCCAGCCTGGGCAACAGAGCGAGACTCTGCCTCAAGAAAAATAAAAAAAGCATAGCAAATAGCCTATAATAAATAACTAGAGGACTCCAGCTACCAAATTTTAGGGGTTGTATAAGGCTGCATAAAATGCAGCATTCTCAAGAGAGTGGACAGAGAGAGAGCCACTGAGCAGAAAACAGTGTCTAAAATACATCCGTGTACACACAGTCCCTTTATAGTTGACAAAGGCTGCCATGTGGTTTAAGGTGGAATAGAATGTCTTCTCAATAAATAACATGGGCCCAAGGGTTACACATAGAGAAAAATATATCTAAACGTATTCTCACACTATAAAACACTTGTTTATTTTATCTTGTTATTGTAATTTTTTTATGTTTTATATTTAAAATTGAGAAATAAAAATTATATACAGTCATCCCTCACTATTCGTGGGTGATTGGTTTCAGGATCTCCACTCAGATAGCACAATCTGCAGATGCTCAAGCCTCTTACATGAAATGGCACAGCATTTGCAAATAACCCATGCACATCCTCCTGTGTACATGAAATCATCCCTTGATTATTTATAATTCCTGATACAGCCTACACACAGCTTCATTTGTGTCCATTCAACATAGTTTTGCTTTTTGAAACTTTGTGGATTTTTTCTCTGAATATTTTTGATTTATATTTGGTTCAATAAACACCTGTAAATCCCACAGATACAGAGGACCGACTGTATATTTATAGTATGAAAGATGATGTGTTGATATGTGTTCCCGTGGAGATGAGACTGACAAGGCCTATGACTCTACAAATGTTTCATCATGGAATGACTCTGCCAGCTTTCCAGGTCTGCAGAGAGTAAGAATATCACTTGTTCATGTGATTCACGATCCTTGGAACCTCTTATGTGCTGCATCTTTGGATGGAAATTGGAGTCTCAGAGACAAATGAGGCTCCACCCTGCTTCCAGAAGCTCAGAGTCCAGGGGTGAGAACCCAGTGGAGAACAGTTGGAGTTATTTGGACATGGTAATGATAACACTGGAAACTTTCAGCCAAAAAAAGAGTCACCTAAAGAATGAAGGCAGACATGTTTATTTGAAGAGGAGAGAACTACACTGAAATCAAAAAAATTTTATAAGGTTTGCTGATGCCAGAAGGCTGAAAAATAGTCTGAGGAAAGGTGGAACAGCACGAGGGAAGGTGGAACAGCACGTGTCTAAGTGCCGTGTTAAGAGAGAGCCTCTTGTATGTTTGGAATTGTGAGTTCCTCAGTGTGATTGCAGCCTCAAGTAGACTAGGAAGTAAGCCAGTTAGGTTGGAGAGGTGGGCAGGGGTCAAGTGAAATAGAGAATTGTGGGCTAAGCAAAGGAGTGTGTTTTCTCTGCAGCAGGCAGTGGGGACCTTAGACATTGGTAAGCAAGAGACAGGCACCAGATTTGTGGTGTGAGGAAGAGTGATGCTCTAAGATGGAGACTCACGCCTTCAGATTCCAGCTGCTGGTACATTAGAGCTGGCAAGCTGGGTTTGAGACAGGGCTGTTGTCTCCCTAGAAGATCCCATCAAGGCCTGACTGTGGTGCTCATGGGCAGGAGACAACGCTCTGGGCTCAGCATTTGGAAGTTCTATACACACGCTGGTATCTGTTGAGGGTCTCTTGCTCCTCTGAGAAGGGCCAGTGATTTTTCTCTGTGTGAAAATGCAGTGATCCAACTGTGCGTATGTCACCTCCTGAGGGTCTTGTTCATCAGAGTCCTGGAGAGAGGGAAATCCTGAGTGAGGGAGGGTGTTCACATTTTTCAGGACTATTAGGGAATAAGACTGTATCCATGAGGCTGGGCTAGGAGGACCTACCTCCCTGTTCACTGTTCTGTGTCCCGCAGGCTCTTGGTTCATTACAGCAGCATCTGTAGGAGACGGAAGCAATCAAAACAGCTGGGAGGGCACTTCTGGGTCCTCATTTCATGAACAGATACCAACACACAGGGGGAGGCCATAGGTGCCTGAGGTCCCTCAGCTGCCAACAGCCAGACTCAGACATTCCATCTCTCTGAGTGCAAGACCCCATTCCATGAATAGCTGTCAGTTCCCATCCCATTGATTCTATCTCCCACTTTCTGCCTGTCATGGAATCTTCTCCTGGATGTGAGTGGCTGCAGGGGACGTGAGGATACAGTTCACAATCAGGCAATGGTCTGTGAGCTGAAGGCAGGGGCAGGGTGTCTGGTGCTCTCTCTAGAAAGCTCTGCCTCTGGCTCCTGCCTTGGGCCAGAGACTTTCCTGCCAGTGAGGAACACACACCTGCGTGCTCCCATCCTGCTTCCGCACAGGGCCCTGAGTTCTCTGGCCTCTGCTTCGTGAGGCTTACTTTTTTTTTTGGAGCACCAGCGATGAAGGAGAAAGAAGGGAAGGATGGTGAAGAGGATGATGGCCACTGAGTACCTAATCACAGCATGCAGGTGTCTGGCGATACCTGGAGGAAGATGAGAATCCAATAAGAAGCTAACCATAGCAGTTCCTCTTTGTGGATTGTCTCTCATTTCTTGGTTGCCAGGCAACCACATAAAACACCTCTTTAGGACAAGCACCCACGAGGCGGGAGACCCAGCTTTCTCCTGCTTTCTCCGTTATAGTTTTCATAATAACAATAGAATGTGCTGATGATACAACTGCTATTGTTTCAATGTTTGACCCCTCCAAACCCCACTTTGAAATTTAATCCCCAGTGTGGGAGGTTGTGCCTATTGGGAGGGGTGTTTTGGTCATGGGGGTGGATCCATCATGAATAGATTAATGCTGTCCCCAGAGGACGGGTTTAGCAAGTTCTCCCTCTATTAGTACCCTGGAGAGTTGATTCTTAAAAAGAGCTTGGAAGCTCCATCACACCCCCTTTCTCCCTCTCTTGCCATGTGATCTCTGTGGTCTCTGCACACGCAGGACCCCCTTCTCTTCTGTCAGTGTGGGAGCAGCCTGAGGCCGCAGCCAGAAATAGATGGTAGTGTCCTGCTTCTACTACAGCGTGCCGATCAGTGAGCCAAACACATCTCTTTTCTTTAGAAGATACCCAGGCTCAAGTGTTCTTTTATAGCAACAAAAATAGGCTAAGACAGCAACATCCTGAGATCAGGAGGAACGTCTCAGAACAGCCTGGGCTGTCTTCCTGTTCTTCCTGGAGGAGAACATCATGCAGTGCTTTAGCTGAGTGTTCCCTGTGGCTCCAGGGTACAAAACCCAGGCTGGGCTGCTTTCTGGCTTCCCCCAGCTACAGTGCACATGAAGTGACTCCATGTGTCCTGAGCAGTTTTTCTGAGCCTTGAGGGACTGGCTCACCCTGAAAGGAAGGTTTCTGTTGTCACTCGCTGCTTATCTATAAGTAATGAACCTGCCTATGTAATGTATTCCCTGTGTGTTCTGTCTCCCTGGAGTGATGGTGAGTGATAGAAATTGGCACAGGCCCAGGTGCAGTATGGGAGGTGTTTAGAGTCTTCTCTGGGAAGACTGGACTGGGATTGATACACAGTGAATGTGCTTTACAGTTTCTACATCCACAACCCTCTTGACTCAAACAAATTACATTCTCCAAGAAAAGGAAAAAACAGTGACATTGAAATCAACATAAGTGAGGTTGAGCTGTCTTATATCAAACAGCCAGGAAATAATGATGAAGCTCGTGGGCAACATGCTACTTTTGTCATCTTGGGAGTCAGATATTAGGCTGCTGTTCCACCCGAGAGTCTGGGGGAAAGACCACCCCCTCCATCATCTGTTGCTTCAATACAGCCTGTCTTTCTGTGAATTACTCCAAAAGGTGACCAGGAGATAGTGCTGGCACTGGTCTCTGAGTCTACGATCTGAACTCCAAAGAATATTAGTTTTTACCTCCCCATGATCTATCTGTATCATTAATGTGATTGGAAGTAGGGGTGAGGTGGGGGATTTGGGTGAAGGGGCAAGTTTTGTGCCATGAACAGATCACGTTCTCTATTCCAGGACCTGTGCTGGTGGGTTTCACATTTTCCATATGATCTCATGCTCACAGAAAGCCAAATAAGGAAGATGTTTTCGCCTGATTTTCTTACGGATAGGATAAAGGATCAAAGAAGTCATTATAGAGAAATAGAAAAATGATGATTGGAATTGGTGTGCCTTTGTCATTCGTGTATGTTATATTATATTTATTTATTCTTTATTTTTATTTTTTGCCATGGAGTCTCACTCTGTCACCTAGGGTGCAGTGCAATGACGCGATCTTGGCTCACTGTAACCTCTCCCTCCCTGGTTGAAGCCATTCTCCTTCTTCAACTTCCCGAATAGCTGGTATTACAGGCATGCGCCACCACCCCCAGCTAGTTTTTGTATATTTAGTAGAGATGGGGTTTCACCATGTTGTCCAGGCTGATCTCGAACTCCTGATCTCACTTGATCCAGCCTCCTCAGCCTCCCAAAATGTTGGGTTACAGGTGTGAGCCACCGTTCAGAACCTTGTGTGTTATATTATAATAGGTCTCTTCCTTTGCACCACCCCTCATGTATCTCTCACTCCTCTGCCAAGTATTGATTTACATGTAGGAAAAATAAATCTCAGAAAGAAATCAATGAAGTGAAGATTAAACAATTAGGAAAAATCAAACCAGGCAAGCCCTCCCTGCAAATTACTCTACCTCACAAACACATCTTTTGTCCATCTTTCATTCATTTAGTGTCTAAATCAGCACCACATTTCACCAGGGGGGCGGGAATTGCCTTTTCCACAGTCTCCTAGATTCCAGTTATGCACCTGGGCCTCCCTTATTTTCATGTCAGTCACTATTCATCATGTAGGGATTCCCAGTTAGCCCCGAGGTAAGTCCAATGGCTGTGAGTGTCAAACACACACTCCTTGTTGCTCCTTAGTTTCCTGTGTACCCAGAGTGCTCTCTGTCTCTCTACAGTCGTCTTGTCATTCTCCCCATGTCATTCCCAGCATTTCAGGCAGAGCCTCTTCCTTCCACATAACATTGTTTTCACCTTTGTGCCTTCACGGCTGACAGCTGTGTGGAAAATCCTTCCGCCAATCTTCCAGGGGTTGATCTATTTTTTTCATTAAGGTCACAAGTATTATTTGATCAGTGAGAACTTCTCTGTCACCCGAAATTATACACTCAGCATTATCTATTATTTCTTTTAAAATACGGCTCGGCGCCTTGGCTCACGCCTCTAATCTCAGCACTTTGGGAGGCTGAGACGGGCGGATCCCTTAAGGTTGGGAGTTTGAGATAGCCTGGGCAACATGGTAAAACCTTGTCTGTACTAAAAAAAAAATACCAAAAAAAAATTAGCCAGGCGTGGTGGGACATGGGTGTAATCCCAGCCTCTCGGGAAGCTGAGTGTAGAGAATCGCTTTAACCTGGGAGGTGGAGGTTGCGGTGAGCCGAGATCCCGCCACTGCACTCCAGCCTGGGGCACAGAGGGAGACACCGTCTCATAAAAACAACCAATCAATCAATCATTCTCATGCACAGATGCTTCCCAATGGATCATTCATTTATTGGTCCACTGGTGCATTCATTTTCTGCCCTCCCATTTAATCCTTTGCAATATCAGTGTCCAAGAGCAGAGGCCAAATGCACCTTGTTTACCATTTGTGGAAAGGATAAGAATGCCGCCCCACCCCAAAATGTTCCTGTCCTAGTCGCCATATCTTGTGAATATGTTATTTTACATGGAAAAAAGGAATGCAGATTGCAGATGGAATTACGGTTGCTAATCAGCTAACCTTAAAAGGAGGGTATCCTAGATGATTTTAGGGAAATTATGATGGATTATCTTGGTGTTTCCAATAGAATGCCAAAGTCCTTAAAAGATGAGGAAGAAGGCAGAGCAGCATTCAGAGAAAGAGGTGTGGACAAGGAAGAAGGGTCTGAGTGATGCCGTGTGAGAGGCGTGACCAGCCTTTGTGGACTTTGAGGGAGGAAGACGGGGACCAGGAGCCAAGGAATGTGGGAGCCTCTAGGAGCTGGGAAAAGTGAGGAAGCAGATTCTTGCCTGGAACATTCAGAGGGAAGGCAGCCTTGCTGTCACCTTGATTTTAGCCCAGTGAGATGATGCATTTCATACTTCTGAGCTACAGCACCATGAGATATTTTTTAAAAATGTGGTTTCCATCCACGAAGCTTGTGGAAATTTGTTATGGCAACATAGGAAAAGGTTCCACACTGCACAGTCTGAGCATGGGGCAGTGGCTGAACGAGTAAGTGGAAGTGTCATGTGCACGGATGAACTACGTTCTCTCTTACCGCAAAGCTCTTGTTCCACTAAGTCAACCAGGGTTGGATCATGACAGACAGGAGCTCATTCCTTGGCAAGTAGAACTTCTCTACAAATACACCACCCTCAAAAATGTTCCCCTTCCTTCCCCTTCTCAAGCCCCCAGGCATTTGTCCTCCCAGTTAGGAATGCAGGCAGAACAAACACAGCATTTTTCCTGAGAAGAATGTCTGATTTGCACTCATCCTTCTACCCTGAGGTCTCAGCAGCAGAAAATTAGAGATTAAGAGATTTCACTGAGCCCTGTGCTGGGCCCAGATCCCTTTCCCTGTTGGAGTGTCTGGGGTTCAGAGACAATGGAAGACAGGCCCACAATCACAGAGCTGGCAGGTGCTGAGCCAACGCTTGAATCCAAGGCTTCTACCTCCCCAGGTTTCCAAAAGCAGAGATAAGAGGGGTCCTTCACTTACCAGTTTTGAAGCTTGGTTCAGTGGGTGAAGGCCAACTACTAGAAGGGTTTCCTAGAACATGGGACAGGAGAGAGGTGTGGCAATGAGGATGCCTGTCTTCTACTCAATGGAAATCTTTGAGGTTGGTTCATGGCCAACATTCTATTATCTAATGTTGGGCCCTGGGAGTCCTGGCATCCCATTCTCCATAATCATTGTAGGTGACACCAACTATCTTGAGACTTCAAGGTATAAGGAGAAAACAGGAGCATCACACTACCTGACTTAAAAATATGTTACAGAGCTGTAGTAAGCAAAACAACATGACATTGGCATAAAGAAAAGCACATAAAACAATGGAGCAGAATGAAGAACACGGATGTAATCCACCCATTTACATCCAATGGACTTTGACAAAGGTTCGAAGAATCTACAATCTGGAAAGGACAGTCATTTCAATAAATGGTGCAGGGAAAACTGGATATCTACATGCAGAGGGATGAAACTGCACCTCTACCTCTCACCATACACAAAAATCAGATGAAAATGGATTAATGACTTAAGACCTGAATCCATTAAATGTCTAAAAGGAAACACTGGAGAAATGCTCCAGGACATTTGTCTGAGGGAAGACATTTTGTTTAAAACCTCAAAAACACAAGTAATCACAACAACAACAAAAAAATAGACCATTGGGATTATATCAAATCAAGCAGCTTCTGCACCGCAAAGGAAGCAACCAATGAAGTGAAGAAGAGACAACCCACAGAATGGGAGCAAATATTTGCAAACTATGCATCTGAGATGGGATTAATAACTAGAATATAAAAGAAGCTCAAACACCTCAATAAAACTAATAATTTAATTATAAAATTAGTAAAAGACCTGAACAGACATTTCTCAATGAACAAAACATACAAATGAACATATATACATTGCATATATGAAAAAGTGCTCAGTATCACTAATCATCAGAGAAATGCAAATGAAGTCACAATGAGCTATCATCTCACCCCATTACAATGGGTTTTATCTCAGAGACAGACAAAACAAATGTTGGCAAGGTGGTGGAGAAAGGAGAACCCTGATACACTGTTGATAGGAATGTAAATTAATACAGCCATTACAGAGGAGAAGAATATGGAAGTTCCTTAAAAACTAAAAAGAGATTAGGCACTGTGGCTCACGCTTGTAATCCCAGCACCTTGGGAGGCTGAAGTGGGCAGATCACTGGAGGTCAAGAGTTCGAGACCAGCCTGGCTAACATGGTGAAACCCCGTCTCTACTAAAAATACAAAAATCAGCCAGGCGTGGTGGCGGGCACCAGTAATCCCAACTACTCGGGAGGCTGAGGCTGGAGAATCACTTGAATCCTGGAGGTAGAGGTTGCAGTGAGCCCAGGTGGTGCCATTGCACTCCAGCTTGGGCAACAAGAGTGAAACGCTATGTCAAAAAAACAAAAAGCATAAAACAAAACCTAAAAAGAGAACATCCAGAGGATCTAGCAATTCCACTAGTGGGTGTAAATGCAAAGAAAAGGACTTCAGTGTATTGAAGTGACATCTGCACTCCCATGACTGTTCCAGCACTGTTCACAGTAGCCAAGATGTGGAGTCAACCTACCTGCCCATCAGTGGATGAATGGATAGAGAGAATGTAGTACATACACACAATGGAGACAACTCATCCATACAAAGAGTAACGTCCTGTCATTTGCAGCCACATGGATGGACTGGAGGTCATTACAAGGATTGCCATTTCTTACTCACATGCAGGATGTAAAAGGTGGACCTCATGAAGGTAGAGAGTAGAATGGTGGATACCAGAGGTTAGGAAGGAAGGGGTGGAGGGTAACAAAAGAAGAATATAAAAGTATTTATTTATTTATTTAGAGACAGAGTCTCTCTGTGTCACCAGACTGCAGTGCAGTGGCATGATCTCAGCTCACTGCAACCTCCTCCTCCTGGGTTTAAGCCACTCTCCCGCCTCAGCCTCCCAAGTTGCTGGGATTATAGGTGCCTGGCACCATGCCTGGCTAATTTTATTTTTTTTGTCTTTTTAGTAAAGATTGGTTCCCCCATGTTGGCCAGGCTGGTCTCCAGCCCCTGATTTTAAATGATCCACCTGCCTTGGCGTCTCAAAATGCTGAGATTACAGGCGTGAGCCACCGCACACAGCATATAAAGGTATTTATGATCCCTAGATTTTACACTTAAAAATGGTAAAGTTGATAAATTATATAGGTATATTTAACCTCAATCAGCATTTTTTCAAAGGAAAAGAAAAAGTGTAGGGGTTGCTGGTGATGACATCTCTGTGTAGGTGAGAGGCCAGGGTGGGCTTCTGGGAAATGGGTAAGGTTGAGGGGCTGAGGGAACCTCTGATCTCCCCAAACTGAGCCCAGTCTCCCTCCTCTGGGTCTGTCCTGACCACTTTCTCCATCTGCCTGGGTACCCGGAGCCCTTACTGCAAGCTTCCATGCAGGCCATGCAGGAGGGTTTGGAGGTGCCCTGTCTGCCATCCTGTGCCCTGATCCCACCCTCACACCATGCTGCATCTTCTCTCCACATCTGTCCATGCTTCTCTCCATCATCAGCAGGAAGCTCCTCAGCTAAGGCTCTAGGACCATAGGACATGGGACAGACATTGGCTTTCCTCACCTGTGACAGAAACAGGCAGTGGGTCACTCGGGTCTGACCACTCGTAGGGAGATCCATGGAAAGAGCCGAAGCATCTGTAGGTCTCTCCGTGGGTGGCAGGACCCAGAGGGAAGTCGGCCTGGAATGTTCCATTGATGCTGGGCACTGCAGGGAGCCTAAGTTCATGGGCTTCCCCCTCCCTGGATAGATGGTAGATGTCAAAGGAGCTCTGGGAGCTGCAGGACAAGGTCACGTTCTCTCCTGCGCGAACCGTGGGGCCCAGCCGGGCTGTAAGCGAAGGTTTCTCATATAGACCTGGAAGGAGAAGAGGCAGTTTCCTCAGGGAGGTTCTTCCTTGTCACAGCTCCCCTCCCACCTGAGCTGAGAACTCACTGCCCTGCTCTATGGCCTAGTGCTCTCTCTCTCTCTCTCACCCTCCACCCCCAACTCTTCCTGTCGATCCCTCCCTATGTGGTTCCAGCCTGGTGGTGGCATCAGCAGTGCACCCTTGCTGATCTCAGGGTAGCCAACCTTCTTGTTTGGTTTTTTAACTTGTCCTTCACCTGGGTTCCTGTGTTGGTTTCCTGTTGTTGCTGGAGAAAATTATCACAAACATGGCGGCAGGAGAGAACACACTGACCCCTTCCACTTCTGGAGACAGAAATCAGACCCTGTTCTTCCTGGGCTACAATCAAGGCATCTGCAGGGCTGCATTCCCTCTGGAGACTCGGGAGAATCAGTTCCATTGATTTCTCCAGCCCCTTCGTGGCTCGTGGTCTTCCTCCACCTTCAAAGCCCACAGTGGCTGGTGGAGTATCCCACGATGCTGCTCTAATCCCCATTCTCCTCTTCCTTCTCCACTCATATGGACCCTTGTGATTACACTGAGCCCAGTGGGAGAGTCCAGGCCATCTCCCCATCTCAAGGTCAACTCATCAACAACCTGAGCTCCATCTTCCCCTTCAGTCCCCTGCCCTATAACATAGTCACAGGCTCCAAGGATTACAATGTGGCCATCGATGGGGACAGTTATTCTTTCCAACACAGCACCCATTCCCCTGTATTCAATCCCCCTTTACCCCAAATATAGTTGGGGCCTGGATGATCGGACTCTGGTGGACACCCCCACCAGAAGCTCTGGGACTCAGGAGGTGGGACAAGGAGAAGCCCAGACAGGAGCCCTCTGACCTGTGACCATGATCACCAGGGGGTTGCTGGGTGCCGACCACTCAGTGGGGGAGTGCGGGTGAAAACCTCGACATCTGTAGGTCCCTGCGTGTGCTGGGGTCACAGGGCTAATGAGGAAACTGTTCCAGAATATTCTGTTGTAGAGCTCAGGGACAGGGACCCCATCTTTCTTGTACAGCGTGAAGATGTTAAACCCACGACGATAGTGACACCGAAGAGTCACGTGTCCTCCTTGAGGCACCACAGCGCTGGGCCAGGCAGAGCAGAAGGGCTTGTCCTGACCACCTTGGGGAGAAGGAGATGCCGCCTCAGAGAGGAGTATGTTGAGCTGCCCCTCCCTCCCTGTGCTCAGAAGATTCTCCCCATTTCTTCTTTCTAAGGCTCCTACCACACCTGGGTGCCTGGGGCTACAGGAAGGACCCATCCCGCATAGACGTGGCGTCTCCCTACAACAAAAGTGTCAGTTGAGAACTGAGCAGGTGCTGAGTAAGGGACTCTTACTAGATTTTAATACTGCAAGATTAGTTACACCAAACAACACAAAGTAGACATGGGGTGGAGGGTATGACCTTTGTGAATGGAATATTAGCTAATGCCTGAACCACAATAAACAACTGAGCTCCATCAGAGGATTTGGAATGGCAGGGTCGTGGCTGTGGTTCCCCCACCTCTTCTGGCAGAATGACAGCAGCCACACTGCAGCCCCTACCGTCATGGAAACGCTGGAGGGTGTGAGTTACCCTCTTGTCCTCAGAGGACCTGCTGTTCCTAACACTGCTACCCTTCCCTCCTCTGTCGGTGACACCACATCCCCCCACACACCCCAGCTTTGAGCACCTCAGTATCCCGCCTGGGCCACACAGAGCTCAACTCAGCCATGGGGAAGAAAGGCTGGGGAGGGCTAAGACAAAACAGAAGGCTGAGCATACCAGGATCTCCTCTTACTAGTTCATGAGAGACTCCCAAGATCTCCTCTTACTAGTTCATGAGAGACTCCCAGGATCTCCTCTTACTAGTTCATGAGAGACTCCCCCCAGGCCTTCCCATGGTCAGCCCATCAGCCCACCCTCTGTGCTGCCTCCCTCCCATTTCCGGAAAATTCACTTGTATTGGGGTGAAGATGGCAACCCATCATTTGGGGAAGGACTCACCCACGTGTGCCCACACACTCTGGTCCAAGAAGAACCCTGCAAAGAAAGATCATGATGAACTATTCATCTCGGCAGCAACCTACCCTTTCCTCCTGAGCCACTGGGCGCCACGCTGGACTGAAAATTAACTCATCCTCACCACTCACTTGCTTCAGAACATGGCTCTCTGCTGGGGAGACACCCAATCTGCAGGCCCATAGTGTAACCCTGGTGCTCCTTCCCTTCCAGGACTCACCAAGACATGCCAGGATGATGACCGTGGGTGACATGGACATGGTGCAGCTTCTGCTGCCAGGACGCAGTGACTCGGCTCGACTGACCGGTGCAGAGGATGTGGTGAGGGGCCCGGATCGTGCAGTTGACACATTGACCACAACATGTGAAGGGGACATAGGTAGGCTTCTTCTACGTCATATGAGGTTCAAGTGGTGAATCAGTCAAGGGAGGAATGAGGGTTTCTGAAAACTGCAGACTAGACTTGTCACTTCACATCATGCGCAACGGCCAGGCTCAAAACACATCTCAGACTCACTTACCCCTGCACGGGACGATTGAATTCTGCACTCACATGAGGAACTTTTGATGTATTTTTTTTTGTTTCTACCTGAGATTCAAACTCTCCTTGATATGTAATATGCAAAATACCTAATAGGTTTTATTAACACTATAGAGCAATCGTATTAAATAAATCATCATAATTTTCCATGGTTGTATTTTTCCTGTTAAGCCAGAAACAGATAAAATGATTTAAATCCCAGTAGAAAAGACTATATAGTTATTTCGCATCATAGAATTCCACCTTATTAGCAAAAACACAATATGTCAATTGAAGGTCTGGTCGTGTTATCTAGAATTTGTCTTATGACACAAGAGTCCAAATTCACAGTTCCCTGTCTCCCTTTTTGTCTCTCTGTAACGTGTGCTTTTTTTCTCCCTGTGTTGTTTGTGTGTCTTTCTTTCTCTCTCTCATTTGAGGAAAAAATATCAGACTGATAACATCCTCCAACTTGATACTGGAATATTGCAATAACTGAAGGTTGAAATCTACACATTTAATGTGCTGTCATTCTTACAAATGTCTCTTATTTACACCTACCTTTCTGGAGTTTGTAAGAACTTTTTCACTATGCATTTTAAATTTGTAAAACTCATAATTTTTAAAAAGGGATGGGTCTCACTGTTTGCCCAGGGTGGCCTTTACTCATTCTATAAGGCTGGCATCACCCTGATACTAAAGACAGAAAAGAACATTAAACAAAAGAAAACTACATGCCAATATTCCTGATGAACATAGAGGCAAAAATCCACAAAAAATACTAAGAACTGAATCCCGCAGCATATCAAAAAGTGAATCCACCATGATCAAGTCAACTTTATTCTTAGGGTGCAAGGTTGGTTGAACATACACAATCAATACATGTGATTCATCACCTAAACAAAACTAAAAACAAAAACCACATGATCTTCTCAACACACATGTAGAACATACTTTTTACTAAGCATTTCTTCATGTTAAAAGCCCTCAACAAGCTAAGCATTGAAGAAACATAACTCAATATAATAAGAGCCGCCTGTGACAAACCCACAACCAACATCATACTGAATGAGTAAAAGCTGGAAGAAGTTCCCTTCATAAGTGAAACAAGACAAGAATGCCCACTCTCACCATCCTATTCAACATAGTACTTGAAGTCCTAGACAGAGCCATCAGGAAAGAGAAAGAATTATAAGGCATCCAAGTAAGAAGAGAGTAGCAGAGAGAGGTAGTCAAATTACCTCTGTTTGAAGATGAGATAATTTCTATACCTAGAAACCCCATAGTCTCTGCCCAAAGGCTCCTACATCTGAGAAACAAACTTCAGCACAGTTTAAGGGCAGAAAGTCAATGTACAGGCTGGGTGTGGTGTCTCAGCCTGAAATCTAGCACTTTGGGAGGGCGAAGCGGGTGGATCACCTGAGGTCTGGAGTTCGAGACCAGCCTGGCCAACATGGCGAAACCCTGTCTCTACTAGAAACACAAATATAGCCGGACGGGGTGGTACGCAACTGTAGTCCCAGCTGCTTGGGAGGCTGAGTCAGGAGAACCGCTTGAACCTGGGAGGCAGAGGTTGCAGTGAGCGGAGATCACGCCATTGCACCTCAGCTTGGGCAACAACAGTGAAACTGCATCTCAAAAAAAAAACCAAAACAAATTTAATTAATGAGGAAAAGGGTATTTGTGGTGTCCATCATGATGTTTTCATATAGGTACACATTGTGGAATGGATGAAACAACCTCTTTATCATATTTATTTTTTCACATACTTGTATGTTTTGTGTGTGTGGTGAGAACATGTAAAATCTAATCTCTTAGTAATGTTCAATACACCATATGTTGCTATTAACTGGAGTCACCAAGACATACAATAGATCTCTTGAACCGATTTCTTCTAACTGAAATTTTGCATCCTTTGACCAACATCTCTTCAATCTCTCTCCATCCCAGGTTCTTTCGACGACCATTTTACTGTTCCTCTAGGTTCCACTTCTTACACTCCACACATGAGATCATGTGGCATTTGTCTTTCTGTGCCTGGATTGTTTCCCTTAACATAATGTCCTCTAAGTTTTTTCACATTGTCACAAATGAGAGGACTTCCTTCTTTGTTGTAAAGGTTGTATAGTACTTCATTACGTTCCTATCGTATACCACGTTTTCTTTGTCCATGCACCCATAGATGGGCAGTAAGGGTGATTCCACATCTTGGCTGTTATGAATAACGCGGCTGTAAACATGGGAATGCAGATATCTCTTCAACATACTGATTCCACTTCCTTTGGATACATGCGCAGTAGTTGGATTGCAGACACATATGGGAATTCTATGTTTAATTTTTTCAGGAACTTCCAGACTGTTTTCCATAATGGTTGTGCTAATTTACATTCCCATCAACTGCATACAAATGTTCCCTTTTCTCCACATCCTCGTTAACCCTTGTTATTTTTTATGTTTTTGATAATGGTCTTTTTTTTTTTTTTTTTTTTGAGACTCAGTCTTGCTCTGTCACCCAGGCTGGAGTGCAGTGGCACAATCTCGGTGTACTGCAACCTCTGCCTCCTGGGTTCAAGCGATTCCCCTGCCTCAGTCTCCAGAGTAGCTGGGACTACAAGTGTGCGCCACCAAACTCTGCTAATTTTTGTATTTTTAGTAGGGATGGGGTTTCACCATATTGGCCAGGCTGGTTTCGAACTGCTGACCTCAGGTAATCTCCCTGCCTCGGCCTCCCAAAGTGCCTGAATTACAGGCATGAGCCACCATGCCCAGACTGTTAATGGTCATTCTAAGAGGTGTGAGGTGATATCTCATTCTAGTTTAATTTTTTATTTAGCTGATGTTTAGTAATGCTAATCATTTTTTCATATACCTTTTGGTGATTTGTCTTATTCTTAGAAATGTTTATTCAGATACTTTGCCCATTTTTTTAAGTTGGGTTATTTGATTTCTTACCATTGAGTTGTTTGAGTTTCTTATATATTTTGGATATTAATTCCTTATTAGATGTATGGGTGCAAATATATTCTCCCATTCCATAGGTTGTCTTTCCACTTGTTGAGTTTTTTTTTTCTTTGCAGAAACTTTCAATTTGATATAATGTTATTTGTCTACTTTTGCTTTTGTTGCCTGGGCCTTTGGGTTAATATCCAAAATGGTTTTGCCCAAGCCAGTGGAGTTTTCCCTTGATTTCTTTTAGTAGTTTTTTTTTTTTTTTTAAGATGGAGTCTCACTGTGTTGCCCCGGCTGGAGTGCAGTGGTGCGATCTCGGCTCACTGCAACCTCTACCTCCTGGGTTCAAGTGATTCTCCTGTCTCAACCTCCCGAGTAGCTGAGATTACAGGCACCCACAACCACACCCAGCTGTTTTTGTATTTTTAGTAGAGGCGGGATTTCACCATGTTGGCCATGCTGGTCTTGGAATCCTGACCTTAGGTGATCTGCCCACCTTGGCCTCCCAAATTGCTGGGATTATAGTCTTTCATCTTACATTTAAGTCATTAATCTATCTTGAGTTGACTTTGTATGTTTTGTGAGGCAAATGTCCACTTCCATTCTTCTGCATGTGGACATGCAGTCTCCCAATCCCATTTATTAAAGAGACTGTTCCTTCTCCATTGTGTGTTCTTGACACATCCCAAAAATTGTTTGACCCTAAATGCATGCATTTTTTTCCTGGGCTATGAATCACTTCCATTGGTCTATGTGTCTGTTTTTATGCAAGTACTGTGTTGTTTTAATTACTGTAATTTTGTAATGTAGTTTGTGTTTAGGTAATGTGATGCTTCCAACTTTGTTCCTTTCCCTCTAGATGGCTTTGGTTATTTGAGATCTTTTGTGGTTCCACATGAATTTTAGGACTGTTTTTTCTATTTCTGTAAAAAAAATGTCATTGGATTTTTGATAATGGTTGCATTGAATCACTTTGGATAGAATGGACATTTTAACAACATTAATCCTTCTGATCCGTGAACATGGAATATCTTTCGATTTATTTGTTTATTTCTTGAGTTTTTTCATCAATGTTTTATAGCTTTTGCATACAGATCTTTCTACTCCTTGGGTGAATTTATTCCTGCATGTTTTGTTTTCTGTAGTTATTGCAAATGGGCTTATTTTCTTGTAAACTTGTTTGGATAGTTTGTTGTTAATGTATAGAAACTTTGTTGTTGTTGTTGTTGTTGTTGTTTTGATGATACCCATCCTAAGGGGTATGAAATGGCATCTGGTGTAGTTTTAGTTAGTATTTCCCTAATGATTCGTGATGCTGAATATCTTTTCATGCGTATGTTCTTTGGAGAAATGTCTGTTTCAGTACTTTGCCCATTTTTGAATTGAGTTTATTGTGATTGAGTTTTAGGAGTTGTCTGTATATTCTGGATGTTAATCCCTTACAGGTGGTGTGGTTTGAAAACATTTTCTCCCATTCTGTGGGTTGTCTTTTTACTTTGATAATATCGTCTTAAAAGTTCTTTTTCCTTGCCATGTGAAGTAACTGATGTTGTCTTTTGAGTCACAATATTTCAAAATTTTCATAAAGTCTAACTTGTTTATTTTTTCTGTAGTAGCCTGTGCCGTTGTTGTCACATCTAAAGAATCACTGCCAAATCCGATGTTGTGAAGTTTTCCTTTGTGTTTTCTTCTAAGACTTTAATTAAATTTTATTTGTCAATATTTAGGACTGACAAAAGCTTTTTAACATTCCTGGCACCATCTCAGTTATTGATCTACTCCCAAGATGGATCATTTCAATTAAAACATGTAAAGCATGACCTCACCTGAATGTGTTTGAACTTGCTCTTCTCCCTTTCAAATCGACTCCCTCACTTACATAGTTTGTGTTCAAATGTCAACAAATAAAACATAAAAAGAAATCAATCTTTTCATAGACCCTTTATCTAAAATAGAATAGTAGGTGCCATGACATTTCATCCTTTCATCTTGAATTATTTACTTTTCTACATGAACCAATCCATTCTTCTGTGTGCATGTGTGTGTGTGTGTGTGTGTAGTTTATCTGTCTACATATAATGTAAACACCAAAAAATAACAGACATTTAGTAATTTTCAAATGAGACTTCAGGAATTAACAATGGCTTGCCATTTTTAGTGTGTTATTATTATTATATTTAGATGAACAGAATTGCCTCAGGAACATGGCCAGGGGCTCATAGTCCAGGAGAACTGTGGCCTGACTCAGGTACATTTTACCTGCAATAACAGCAATTGCAGGTCACTGGAGTCCATCACAATTGGCTGGAGACAAATGTAAGACAAGAATATTTGCAGTTTCCCCAGACTGACACAGTTGCAGGTTCCCCGAAGTAATGAGTCCTGAGACACCTCCAACAAGAGCTAGAAAAGGTATCACTTCAAGAGGAGTTGCAGCCTACTCATTTTAGACAAATGGAGCAAAATTACAGTATCACATCTTTTCCTTTCTCCTTCATAGAATCTGGATGAACAGAACAGAAAGAGTTAATGGAATATAAGATTCCAATTCTCTGGCATGAGAAAATAGACAAGGAAAGGAAGATTCATCTTCATCACATCTCAGACATGCTTGGACACAGGGTCCAAGCACAAAAGAGAAACACATACTTCTTCCCATCCACACTGGGATCCAGGGTCTTCTCCCTCCTGTCAGGCCAGAACTGAGTCTCCACTCCCCAATTTAGTTCCCAGAGATGAAGCCCAATTTTCCTCTGTCTCAAGCTTTGAAGGCCAGCTTTAGCGTGTTCACCATGGATGAATGAAGGTGAGGTCAGAGGTTTGGGAAATGGTCAAGAATGAGGTGAGAAGAGAGCTGTGGAGGCATGGCCCCGGGGAGCTTGGTACCCCCCCATATCCAGAGCCTGTCTGGTCCAGGAGAGTTCCCAACCCTGTGAGCACCAACTCCGGATATTCTGGGCAGTGACCCGAGGGACAGCCTCTTATGAATACAGGCTGTTTTCCTCCAGTGTCTGCTGTGAAACCAGGATGTACAACATGGCCGTGTTCAACCCAACAATGGACTTAGGATTTTGCTGTACGCCAAAACTCAGTGTCCAACTTCCACTCTGTTTAGCTGGAAAAAGAAGGGGTTTGTTCCCATACATCTCACTCCTGTGTTCCTCTTTCAGTCTCAAAGCTCAGATGAAAACAATGAGTGTCACTTATTGTCAATCCTCTTCCCTGCCTTTTCCACACTCATCAGTATTACCGTTTACATTGAGATTAAAGATGGCCAATCACCACTTTTCTTCGGAAAAATCAACCTGATGTTGTACCTACTTTTTTAGAGGTGGAATCAACCTACCCTAAGATGCCAACTACATTTTACTGAATGGACTTTTGTGGATCCCTCGTTGTATATAGTGGCACCTTGAGGTATCATCCCTGTCTTTAGCAAATGAATATTATCCCAAGGACAATATTTCATCACAATTATTCGGGATGGACGAGTGGATATTGTGGTAGCAAGAACATTACTAAAAGTCACAGCTGATACAACACACTTGAAACCCATCTGGCCAATCTCCCACAGACAGAATGTCGCGCCATTCACTCCAGCCAGCTTCAGTCATGTTTCTTCCATTTCCACCTGTGGCCCCTCATGTCTCCACCAGGTCTTAGCCAGCATTGCCAAAAGAGCCAGGAAGACCAGACCAGCCACAACAATCCTGATGGAACTCTCCACAGTATAGTTCTGGAGAACAGGGGCTGGAGGGTGGGGGTAAGATCAGAGACCTTTCCATGTGGGCCAGGCCCCTCTCTCCCCAGAAGCTCTGAAATGGAGCTATTTCCCCATCTCACCTTCATAAAATTCTTCCTGTCCAGAACCCCTCTTCTCCCTATATCATCATGAGCACCTTCAGAAGTCTTTTGCCACAGAAAGAAATTTCTTTTGAAGATATACATTTTTTTGTACATTTCAAAAATGTTCCCAAACTAATTCTCCAAAGCAATAAATGTTTGTGTGTATTGCTGGGTAGGTTATGCATACAAGGAAAGGAAGCATAGTGAGTCTGATTTGGCAGAGGAAACATATGTGGAAATTATATCATTTACTCTCTTTACAAAATTAAGTACAAAATTGAAAACACTGGTAAGAAAGAATGAGCTATAGAGAAAGAAAACATCTGAGATGCTTGTTTCCAAGATGGCTGACTAAATGCTTTTCTGGCATGTCTCATCCACTTAGAAGAACGAGCAGAATCCAGAACAAAAACCATATGATCATCTCAATAGACATAAAGAAAAGCATCTGAAAAGAAATTCAACATCCTTACCTGATGAAAACCCTCAAAAACTTAGGCATAGAAAGAACATACCTCAAAATAATAAAAACCATAGATGACATATCTAGAGTCAACATCATACTGAACAGGAAAAGTTAAAAGCACTCCTCTGAGAACTGGCACAAGACAAGGACACGGACATCCACCACTTCCTATCAACATAGTACTGGAAGCCTTGTCAGAGCTATTGGGCAACAGGAAGAAGTAAAAATCCAAATTAGAAAAGAGGAAGTAAAATTATTTTTATTTCTGATGCTATGATCTTAAATCTAGAAAATCCTAAAGACCCTGCCAAAAATTCTTATGATTGATAAATGAACTAAGTAAAGTTTCAGAATACAAAATCAATATGTAAAAGCCGGTAGCATTTCTCTACACCTATAATGATCTAGCTGAGAACCAAATCAAGAAGGCAATGCCGTTTACAATAGATACGCAAAATTAAAACACTCAGGAATACATTTAACCAAGGTGGTGAAAGATCTGTACCAGGAAAGGTGTAAGACACCAATGAAAGCAATTATAGATAATACAAAAAAAAAAAAGAAAAAAAATCCCACGCTCATGGATCATAAGAATTAATATTGTTAAAATGACCATACTGCCTAAAGCAATCTACAGATTCAGTGCAATTCTTATATGAAAATAGTAACACCAGTTTTCACAGAATTAGAAAAAGCAATCCTAAAATTCATACAGAACCAAAAAAGATCCTAATAGAGAAAGCAATTCTAGGTGAATGTAGAAACCTGGAGGCATCACGCTATCTGACTTCAAACTATGCTCTAAGGCTATAGTAACTTAAATAGCACAGTGCTGGTATAGACACAGAAACAGAGATCAATAGACCAGAATAGAGAGCCCAGAAATACAGCCTCATATCTACAGTGAATAATCATTGACGACGTTAACAAAACATACACTGGAGAAAGATTTCCTTTTCAATAAAAGGTGCTGGGAAAACTAAATAGCCATATGCAGAAGAATAAAACTGGACCTGTATCTGTAATCATACACATAAATTAACTTAAGGTAATTAGCAGCTTAAATGTAAATCCAGAACTATAAAATCACCGGTGGAAACCCAAAGAGAAACTCTTCTGGGCATTGGTCTGGGCAAAGAATTCATCACTAAGACCTCAAAAGCACAGGCAATAAAAATAAAACTAGACCAATGGGACTTAATAAACGAAAGAGCTTCTGCCAAGCAAAGGAAATAGTAGCAGGGTGAACAGACAACCCACTGAATGAATGGAAATGTTTGCAAACTATGCACCCAACAGAGGACTAACATCCAGAATTTCTAGGCAACTCAAACAACTAAACATAACCCCTCAAATAATAGCATTAAAAAGTGGGCAAAGGGATATACATAGACATTTTTCAAAAGAAGACATACGAATGGCCAAACAGCGTATGAACATCACTAATCATCAGAGAAATGCAAATTGAAACCACAATGAGATATCATCTTACAGTAGTCAGAATGGCTATTACTAAAAATGCTGGTGGGGAGTGGTGGCTCACGCTTGTAATCCCAGCACTTTGGGAAGCTGAGGCGGGTGGATCATGAGGTCAGGAGTTTGAGACCAGCCTGACCAACATAGTGAAACCCCATCTCTACTAAATATACAAAAGATTAGCTGGGCATGGTGGTGTGGTTCTGTAATCCCAGCTACTCAGGAGGCTGAGGCAGGAGAATCATTTGAACCTGGTTGGTGGAGGTTGCAGCGCGTGGAGATGGCGGCACTGCACTCCAGCCTGGGTGACAGTGGAAGACTCCATCTCAAAAAGAAAAAAAGAAAAAGTGAAACATATAACAGGTGTTGGCAAGGATGCAGAGAAAAGGAAACTCTTATACACTGTTGGCCGGTATGTAAATTAGTATAGCCTCTATGGAAGACAGTATGGAAATTTGGCAGAGAACCAAAAATAGAAGCACCATTCGATCTAGGGGTCCCGCTGCTGGGTATCTACTCAAAAAATATCTGCACCTGTATGTTTATTGCAGCACTGTTTGCAATAGCAAAGATATGAAATCAATCTAAGTGTCTGTGAATGAATGATTGGATTAAAAAAAGGATGCGTGTATACACAACGAAATACTATTTGGTCATAAAAATAAAACCATGTCTTTTGCAGCAACATAGATGGAGCTGGACGCCATTATTTTACATAAAACCACTCAGAAAGACAAATACCACATCTTCTCACTCTACATGGGAGGGGAGTAATGTGTACATATGGACGTAGAGTGTGGAATGACGGACAGCGGAGGCTAGAAGGCTGGAGGGTGGCGGGACGTGGGTGAGTGATGAGAATTTGCTTAATGAGTACAATGTACGGTATTTGGGTGATGGATATAGTAAAAGTCCTGACTTCACTACTCTGCAACATACTCATGTCACAAAATTACAAGTGTACCTCATAAATTTATACTAATAGAAAAGAAAGTCTGTACACAGTAATCAATTGTGATATATAGATAAAGTCAATATTAAATTTAAACCAGAATAACTAGTTAAAATGTTGTGTACACAACAGTGAAGAGAGTATTTATCCTCTATGACAGAGGAAACCATCAATATTAATGCACAGAAAAAGCAAATAACTGAAACAAGAAAGAGCAGTTTTGTGACAGGGTAAAAATTGACAACAGTTTTAGAATGCTCCTAACTTGAGTTCCAAAAAGAAAGAACGAGAAAACAGGTCAGAAGCAATCTTTAAAGAGGCAATTGTTGATTATTTGGAGGAAGTAGACACATCCATCAATCCACAGGTTCAAGAAATCCAGTGAATGCCAGGCAGAATGAAGTAAACACACCTCACGTTCAACATTACAGAAAAGCAGCATAAAAGCACAACCAACCCTTAAAATTAGCCAGAGGAAAAGGATCAGCTGGTAAGGATTTATAGGGAGCCAAGCATTGTCTTCCCCACAGAAAAAAGGAAAACATAAGCCAGTAGAATAGCATCTTTACCCAGCTAAGATACCGTCGCCAGCCACCGACAATTCCTTACATAGTACAGTTACTGTCCAAGATCAACGCAGGAAAGAAACAGAACTGAAAGACAAAAGGTCAAAGAAAGCTTTTCTCACTGACCCTAAAGGAAATTCTGATGACCGTGCCTCAAAGATAAAGAAAGTGAAACCAGATGGGGTGTCGAAGATTCTGACAATAACTAAGAGCAGAGGAAGAACTAAAAATATGGCTATGCCAAAAATGAATATGGACCATACGATAGTGTATGAAAACACGCCCCTGTGTAATTTCTGAAAAAGATAGAATTATGTATACCACAAAACAAAACATCATATAAGTAAATACAAACATATGTACTAAATATGCTCTAAAATCCTGTTCTTACACAGGAAGAGTGGAAATATGTTTTTATATTTGCAGTTTAATCTCTGAAATGATTAATTTCAATTTTAAAAATATGTAACAACTTCAGGATGAGTACACCATATATGTATTCCTAAACGACATAGATCAAAAATAGAATGTTTGAAATAGAAAACCACAGAAGTCAGTGGGAAAAAAAGGGAATCAGGAAAACACAACGTAATAATAACAAAAATATGATTGGAAGAACTGCTCAAACATGAACAAAAGATTGTCAGAAAGTCTTACTTTCTAAGGCGAATTGTTTGAAATTTACAAAGGACACATCTCAATGTTAACAATTCATGGAGTTTGAAATTAAACAATGTAGAAATATACCAAGCAATCACTGTTAGAAATGTGGTATAACTATATTAAAATTAGACAAAATTAGTCTTTGGGAAAAATCAGCGGAAAACATTAAGCATAAAATGTAGGAAAAAAGCAGGTAAATTTATAGCATTTTAAATTTACCAGGAATATATAATCAGTTTACACTTAACCACTCCCAGTAATATTCCTGCAAATATACATGGAGGAAGAGTCGCGGAAATAAATGGACAGGTAGGCAAATCCACGGCCACAGTGGGGTGTTTAACACTCCTCTTTTCTCAGTTGTTGATAGAAGTGGTTCAGGCAATTAGAGAGGATTTAGAAAGATAATTGCTGGACCTGACCCAAGGTATAAGTCCACTCCCAACCACAGGACTCACTTTCCTTACAAGCACAAGGGCATTTAGAAATCTCTCTGGATTCTGACCAGCCCTCACCATATGGCAGGTCCATGGACTTCTTGGAACACACCAAGCTCATTCTCACATTAGGGTCATCCCCAATGTCCTAAGTCCATGAAAGTTCCTTTCAATACACTCCCCAGGGCTCACTCCCTCTTGTCTCTAAGATCGGAGTTTAAATGTGATCTCTCTGATGAGGTCTCAGTGAGACGTTCCCTCCTGTACACTCCAAATGACAACGTTCCACGTTCATTCATTTCATTCTGTGCATGGCACTTTCACCAAGTGCTAAGGATTCACTCACTAATTCATACATTCATTCATTCATTCATTCACTCATTCCATCATTCACTCATTCATTCATTCTCTCATTCATTCATTCATGTTCTGCCTCTCTCTCCCACCCCACAGCAATGTGAGCATCATGAACCCAGGAGCTTGGCCGTGCTGTCTACTCCTGGCCATGAAACAGAGAGAACTGATGGTAGGTGTGAAATAAATATTAGATGAATGAGTTAGTGAAGGGGTCATTTACTGGGTGAGCTCAGTTCTCTCTACTCTAATGCCCTCCCTCGGCTGACTTCCCTGAGTTGCCCCCTCGGCTGAGTGAAGTCCCTTCACTGGCAAATGGAACCTCAACCAGTAGCACCTAGGTGGTCTCATACTTTGTTCTTTCCCTCTCCTCTTGCTCCCTAAGGATTATCAATCTCCATGACAGGGCTGGAGAGCAGACAAGCCACACATTCTTTCTGGGGAGAGAGTAACATGGAGTACAAGGCATTCCACATTTAGGAAGAGAACTCAGTTATGGAAGGTCAGAAATGAAAAGTTCCTACAGACCAACACCCAGGTTGGTGGCCACAGCCCTAAATGCTGATGGAGAATCACTGCAAGTCTGTAGGGAAGATGTCTGGCTTGAGGCCACTGAGCGAAGTGGCAGATCCTTCTCAGCCTTCAGTGCTGAGCCTCTGTCCCCTCAGGGATCCACTGACCAATGAGAAGAGCCTCTTCTCATCTCCTGGGATGGAGCTTGGGGCCCCTGGCGAAGGAATGGGCCTGTTTCCACCTGTCATGTTGTCATCTAGCTTGGAAATCCTGCGAGTCCCAGGGAGGCCCTCCCCGAGTCCCCAGAGAAGACTCCCCCACTGAGTCTCCAAGGTGTGGAGAGAGCAAAAAACATCTAGGGTGGAAAATGCCTCCCATCAAGAGACATTGGGGCTCCCCCAACGATGGTTGCATCTGTGCCCCCCATGTGGAAATCACTCTTTGGTGAGAGGTGGGGGCTTCTGGAAATGGGCAATGGCGGGCGGCCAATGCTACCTCTAGTCTTTCCAATCTGAGCCCGGCCTTTCATGCTCCTGAGTCAGCATTGATGCTGTTTACATGTGTCCCAGGTGGGCTTCTGTACAAAGACTGGGAAGTGGTTTATGTGGCCTGTGCTCTATCTGCAAGCTTCAGGTAGGGTTGCAGTTACCACCCCAAACCCTAATGTGATCTGTCTGCCTCGCTCTGTCTGTCTGTCTATGCCTCTTTCTGTATGTTTGCTTTGTGTCTCTTCTGTCCAGCATCTCTGGCTGACACCCCCATGGCCACCCCCTCCATCTGAGGCTCCCCTGAATGTGGCCATTGTAGTCCATCTGAGTCCCACTATTTGGGGAACAGACTGGTTTCCTCACCTGTGACAGAAACAAGCAGTGGGTCACTAAGGTCTGACCACTCGTAGGGAGAGTCACGGAAAGAGCCGAAGCATCTGTAGGTCCCTCCGTGGGTGGCAGGGCCCAGAGGAAAGTTGGCCTGGAAGGTTCCATTGACCTTGGGCACTGCAGGGAACCTAAGTTCATGAGCCTCCCCCTCCCTTGATAGATGGTAGATGTCATAGGAGCTCCGGGAGCTGCAGGACAAGGTCACGCTCTCTCCTGCCTTAACCATGGGGCGCGGCTGGGCTGAGAGAGAAGGTTTCCCACATAGACCTGGAAGGAGAAGAGGCAGTTTCCTCAGGGAGGTTCTTCCTTGTCACAACTCCCCTCCCACCTGAGCTGAGAACTCACTCCCCTGCTCTATGGCCTAATGCTCTCTCTCTCTGTCTCACCCTCCACACCATCTCTCTTTATGTCTATTTCCTCTTTCCACCTTCTCTGTCTCTCTAGGTCTCTGACCTCACTTTCTCACCTCTAGATATGTTTTCCCTTTTTGGATTGTTTTATTCTCTCTGACTCTCCTTGGACTAGTTGACTTGATGTTACTTTTTTTAAATTCTGAGTTTCTCACTTTGTGTCCTGTTCATAACTTTCTGCATATTTCTATCTATTATCTATCGATATATCTATTTATCTATCTGGTGCCTATCTACAAATTCTCTACCTGTCATCTATATCTATATATAATCTATTTATCTATCAATTGTCTATCCAAAAATCATCTATTATCTATATCTATGTATCGTCTCTCTCTCTCTATGATTTCTCTTTGTCTGCCTCTCTATCTCTATGTATTATCTATCTATCTTCATCTTCATCATCTCTATGTATCATCGATTAATCAATGAATGAATCGATCATCATCTATGTATCTATAACCTATTATCTATCATCTACCTATTTATCATCTATCTATATCTATCCATCTATCATCTGTCTTGCTCTGCCTCTCGGTCTCTCTAGTTCTCTTTGGAATCTCTGCAATTCATCCCCACATCTCCATCTTTCTATGTCCTTGTGCCTCTCCCTCAGGACTCTAATTTTAGTGCTTTTCTCTGTTCCCTTCCATTGTTCTCTCCACTTCTCTGCCCTCTTTTCTCCCTCTTTATGTGTCTGTGAGTCTCTCAATCTCCTTCCTCTGGCTCATTCTCTGTGTGTTTATGTCTTTGCTTTTTGGTGTCCCTGATTTCTCTCTGTGTCTCTCAGTGATCCTCTCATATGTGGGGTTATTTGGAATGTGAGCCTCAGAATCCAGTCTGGGGACCGCAAGTTCACACAGTATACAGGGGTTGATGTTCTGGGGCCATGATATCCTGGGACGATTACTCTCCATTGCATGGAAGGCAGAGGTGTCAGAATAAACACGGCATCTGTAGGTGCCAGAAGGCCTGAGGCCACAGGGCCCAACTCAGGCCAGAAATATGGGTGTCCTTGGGTTCTTCTGGTAGAGAACACTTTGTGGAAGTAAAACAGAAATGAAACTTCTAACCTGTGCCAGGTCTCTGAGCAAAGTCAGCATGGAAGGACACCTCTCTCTGGCACATGTCTGTCTGTGTCTCCTTTAACTCTTTCTGTCTTTTCTAACTCCCTGTATGGCCCCTGTGTCTGTCCTCTGTTATGACACCTGGTCTGTACTTGTGTCTCCTGTTTCTCTGTCTCTGTTGGTACAGACCTCACCAAGTTAGTCTCTCTCCATAAGAATACCAAGCTCATCTTCCTTATAACCACCTGGGCCTCCAAGTCGTGGATCATTCACTCTGTGTCCCAGTGACAATGAGAATAATGTCCAGACACTCTCACCTGTAATCACGATGTCCAGAGGGTCACTGGGAGCTGACAACTGATAGGGGGAATGAGGAACAGAACCGTAGCATCTGTAGGTCCCTGCAAGGTCTTGCGTCATGCGACCGATGGAGAAGTTGGCCTTGGAGACCCCATCATGGAGCTCTCCAGTGAGGCGCAAAGTGTCATTAAACTTCCCCTCTCTGTGCAGAAGGAAGTGCTCAAACATGACATCTGACCAACATTGCAGGATGACTGTCTCTTCTGATTTCACCAGGGGACCTGGGTGGGCCAGGAGGGAAGGTTTTCTGTGGACTCCTAGGAAGAGAGGTTGTGACTTTAGAAGGCATCTCTCTTTATCATCCCATCCATGGCACCTAGAATGAGTGAGGCTTCCCCTCGCTGGTGTCTTATCTCTCTCCTTCCTCTCTGTGTCTTCATGTTCTTTTCTGTGCCCATAACTCCTGGTACAGGTCCTTCCATCTGTCTCCCTCCCTCTTCTCTGTCCCTCTGTCTCTAGTAGCTCCTGATTCCCTTGCCGCTGGGCTCAGCCTCATCTCTTGGGCTGTTGTATCTATTTCGAACTAATGTCTTTCCTGCTTCTATGTGGGGGTGGAAGAGGAACCAGGATAGGCTGCACGTCCAGGCTCTTAGCAGACTGGTTCAATCTCTTTTGGACGAATTGGAATCCTTGGCAGAAGGTATGAACTGATCAGTAAGGCAGGCACCAGTGTCCACACACCCTGTTCCTGGTGGGGACTGGGAGCCACTCTTGCCATGCCTGTGCCTTCTCCATGGTGCCAGCTTCCATAGGCTGGCTTCTGGTGCTGGTTTGAGGAGTATCAACCCCTCCCTATGTGGATGGAGCCTGGTGGTGGCATCATCATCCCACCCTTGCTGATCTCGGTGTAGCCAACCTTCTCTTTGTTTGGTTTCTTTAATTAATTAATTAATTTTGGAGTCAGAGTCTCACTCCTTCACCCAGGCTGGAGTGAAGTGGTGTGGTCTAGGCTCACTGCAACCTCTGTCTCCTGGGTTCAAGTGATTCTCCTGCCCTCAGCCTCCTGAGTTGCTAGGATTACATGCACCTGCCACCACGCCCGGCTATCCTTGTGTCCTTTCTTATCTTGTCCTTGACCTGGGTTCCAGTGTTGGTTTCCTGTTGGTGCTGTGGAAAATTATCAGAAGCATGGCAGCAGGAGAGAGCACACTGACCCCTTCCGTTTCTGGAGACAGAAATCGGACCCTGTTTTTTGAGGGCTAAAATCAAGGCATCTGCAGGGCTGCGTTCCCTCTGGAGACCCAGGAGAATCAGTTCCTTGACTTTTCCAGCCTCTATAGGCCACCTGCATTCATGGCTCATGGCCTTCCTCCACCTTCAAAGCTGATGGAGACTTCCATTGCACTGCTCTAATCGCCACTCCCCTCTTCCTTCTCCTCTCATGTGCACCCTTGTGATTACACTGAGCCCAGCAGGACAGTCCAGGCTGTCTCCCCATCTCAAGGTCAACTCAACAACCTGAGCTCCATCTTCCCCTTCAGTGCCTTCCCCTATAACATAAATAGTCACAGACTGCAGGGATTAGAATGCAGTCATCATTGGGGACAATTATTCTTTCCACCACAGCACCCATTTCCCTGTATTCAATCCCCTTTTACCCCAAATACAGTTAGGGTCTGGATGATGGGACGCTGGTGGACACTCCCACCAGAAGCTCTGGGACTCAGGAGGTGGGACAAGGAGAATCCCAGACAGGAGCCCTCTGACCTGTGACCATGATCACCAGGGGGTTGCTGGGTGCTGACCACCCAGTGAGGAAGTGTGGGTGTGAACCCCGACATCTGTAGGTCCCTGCATGTGCTGGGGTCACAGGGCCTATGAAAACGGTGTTTCGGAATACTCTGTTGTAGAGCTCAGGGACAGGCATCCCGTCTTCTTTGGACAGACTGAATTCGTTAAACCCAAGACGAGAGCGACACTGAAGAGCCACATGTTCTCCTTCAGACACCACAGGGCTGGGCCAGGCAGAGAGGAAGGGCTTGTCCTGACCACCTGGGGGAGAAGGAGGCGCCACCTTAGAGAGGAGGATGTGGAGCCGCCCCTCCCTCCACGTGTCAGAAGATTCTCCCATTTCCACTTTCTAAGGCTCCTACCACACCTGGGTGCCCAGGGCTACAGGAAGGACCCACCCCGCATAGACTTGGCGTCTCTCTACAACAAAAGTGTCAGCTGAGAACTTTGAGCAAGTGCTGAGTAAGGGACTCCTACTAGATTTTAATCCTGCAAGATTACTCACATAAAACAACACAAATAGACATGGAGTCGAGGGCATGTTCTTTGTGAATGGAATATCAGCCAATGTGTGAACCACAATACACAACTGAGCCCCCAACAGAGGATTTGGAAGGTCAGGGCCCTGGCTGGGGTTCCCCCACCTCTGAGGTAGAATGACAGCAGCCACACTGCAGCCCCTACCGTCATGGAAACGCTGGAGGGTGTGAGTTACACCTTTGTCCTCAGAGGCCTGCTGTTCCTAGCACTGCTTTGCTCCCTTCCTCTGCCAGTGACACCACATCCCAGCCGCACAGCCCAGCTTGGAGGACCCCAGTCTACCCTCCCGGGTTCCCACAGAACCTGACTCAGCCAAGGGAAAGGAAGGCTGGGGAGGGCAAGGTCGGAACTGTGGGCTGAGCACCCCAGGGTCTCCTCATCCTTGTTTATAAGAAAATCCCCCACCGGGCTTCCCTCCTGTTTCAGGAAAATCCTCTTATGTGGGGAGATGACACCCGAAGGTTTGGAGAAGGACTCACCCTCATGTGTCCAGGCCCCCTGCAGCAAGAAGAACCCTGGAAAGAAAGATCATGATGGACCATCCATCTGCAGGCAAACCAGGACTCCCTTGCTGCCCCCACTGGGCTGTGAGTCTTGGTAGCCAGGCCCTTGCTGGGCTGAAGGGAAACTCACCCTCAGTGCCAGCCTGCACCCAAGAACAGGGCTGTCGGCTGTGTAGAGACCCAGCCTGCAGGCCCATATCCGCACCCCAGGCCCCTATCCCCACCCCAAGCCCATATCTCCACTCCAGGCCCATATCTCCACTCCAGGCCAATATTTCCACCCTAGACCCATATCTCCAATCCAGGCCCATATCTCCACCCCAAGCCCATATCTCCACACCCAGGCCCATATCTCCATCCTAGGCCCATATGTCCACTCCAGGCCCAGATATCCACCTCTAGGCCCATGTCTCCACCTCCAGGCCCATATCTCCACCTCCAGGCCCATGTCTCCACTCCAGGCCCATATCTCCATCCCAGGCCAATATCTTCACTCCAGGCTCATATCTCCCCTCCAGGTTCCTATCTCCACTCCAGGCCCAGATCTCCACTCCAGGCCCATATCTCCACCTCCAGGCCCATATCTCCACTCCAGACCCAGATCTCCACTTCTAGGCCCATCACTCCATCTCCAGGCCCATATATCCACTCCAGGCCCAGATCTCCACTCCAGGCCCATAACTCCACCTCCAGGCCTATATCTCCACCTCTGGGCCCAGATCTCCATCCCCGCGCTCCCTCCCTCTATTCCTTTCCAGGACTCACCAACACACGCCATGCTGACGACCATGAGCGACATGGTGCTGCCGGTGCAGACAGGCAGCCGCGCCCCAGCTCAGCTCAGCAGCGCACAGGATGTTATTTGGCGCCCTGCCCATGCAGCTTACATGTTGACTACATCATGGGAGGGTGACGTACGCAGGCTCTTTCTACCTTGCATGAGGCCCAGTGGATGCTTGCTCAAGAGCGGAACACGGCTTCCTGGAAATTGTTCTCACTAGAATTGGCACCTCACGTCCTTCACTATGACCAACTCACAACACGTCTCAGATCCAACCTCCCGAACACAAGATGCCTAAAATCTGTGCTAACGTGAAAGACTTTTCATGTATTTTTATCCGAACACGAGATGCCTAAAATCTGTGCTAACATGAAAGACTTTTCATGTATTTTTTTTGTTTTTATCTGAGATTCAAACTCTTCTTCCTGTGTAATATGCAAAGTATCTAATAGGTATTATTAATGTTTTCGGAGTCATTGTGACTAATAAACCATTAGAATTTTTCATGCTTGTATTTCTAGTATTACAGCAGAACCAGCTAAAATGATTTAAATTCCCAGGGAAGGATTATGCAATTATTTACAATCTTAGAATTGTACTTTATCAGCAAAAACCACACCTGTAAATTCTGGAGTTTTGTAGTTTAATCTAAAATTTGTCTCATGACCCAAGATTCCAGAGTCCCAACTCTGGAGTTTGCTCTCTGTCTGTCTCTCTCCCTCCCTCGTTTTAAATTTTACAGAAATATCCAGTAACATAATGCTATAGAAAATCAAGTTTTCCCCAGCACGTTGGGAAGCCGAGGTGGGCGGATCAACTGAGATAAGGAGTTTGAGAGCAGCTTGGCCAATATAGTGAAACCGTGTCTCTGTTAAAAATCCAAAAATTAGCCGTGCCTGGTGGCAGGCACCTGTAACGCCAGCTGCTCAAGAGGCTGAGGCACGAGAATCGCTTGAACCTGGGAGGCGGAGGTTGCAGTGAGCTGAGATTGTGTCACTGCAGTCCAGCCTGGGCGACAGAGCAAGACTCCGCCTCAAGAAAAAAAAAGCAAACAGCCTATAATAACAAATTAGAGGGCTCTGGCTACTAAATTTAAAGGGTTCTATAAGGCTACATAAAGTGCAGCATCATCAAGAGTGTGGACACAGAGAGCCCCTTAGCAGAAACAGTGTCTAAAATACATCCATGTACACACAGTCCCTTTAGAGTTGACAAAGGCTGCCGTGTGGTTTAAGGTGGCATAGAATGTCTTCTCAATAAATAATATTAAACCAATTGGTTACACCTAGGAAAAAATAAATCTAACTCACACTATAAAAACACTTCTTAGTTTTTATCTAGTTGTACATTTTTTATGATTTATATTTAAATTTGAGAAATAAAAGTCATATACGGTCATCCTTCACTATTCGTGGGTGATTGGTTTTGAGATCTCCACTCAGATACCAAAATCTGTAGATGCTCAAGCCTCTTATATGAAATGGCACAGAGTTTGCAAATAACCTATGCACATCCTCCTGTATACATGAAATCATCTCTAGATTACTTATAATTCCTGATACAGCCTACACACAGCTTCATTTGTGTCCATTCAACATAGTTATGCTTTTTGAAACTCTGTGGATACTTTCTCTCAATATTTTTGATTTATACTTGGTTCAATAAACACCTGTAAACCCCGCAGATATGGAGGAGTGACCGTATATTTATATTATGAAAGATGATGTGTTGATATGTGTCCCCATGGAGATGAGACTAACAAGGCCTATGATTCTACAAATGTTTCATTGTGGAATGACTCTGCCAGCTTTCCAGGTCTGCAGAGAGTAAGAGTATCACTTGTTCATATGATTCGTGATCCTTGGAACCTCCTATGTGCTACATCTTTGGATGGAAATTGGAGTCTCAGAGACAAATGAGGCTCCACCCTGCTTCCAGAAACTCAGAGTCCGGGGATGAGAACTCAGTGGGGAACAGATGGGATTATATGGACATGGTACTGATAACACCGGAAGCCTTAGGCAAGAAAAGAGTCCCATTACCGAAACCATGGGGGCAGACATGTTTATTTGAAGGATGGAAAACTACATTGAAGTTATTTTAAAAAATATATAAGTTTTACTGCTGACAGAAGACTGAAAGCTAGTCTGAGGGGAGGTGGAACAGCATGAGGGAAGGTGGAACAACACGTGTCTAAGTGCTGCGTTAAGAGGGAGCCTCTTGTATGTTTGGAATTGTGAGTTCCTCAGTGTGATTGCAGCCTCAAGTAGACTAGGAAGTAAGCCAGTTAGGTTGGAGAGGTGGGCAGGGGTCAAGTGAAATGGAGAACTGTGGGCTAAGCAAAGGAGTGTGTTTTTTCTCCAGCAGGCAGTGGGGACCTTAGACATTTGTAAGCAAGTGAGAGGCACATTCAGATTTGTGGTGTGAGGAAGAGCGATGCCCTAAGATGCAGACTCATGCCTTCAGATTCCAGCTGCTGGTACATGGGAGCTGGCAACCCGGTTTTGAGACAGGGCTGTTGTCTCCCTAGAAGACGCCCTCAAGGCCTGACTGTGGTGCTCATGGGCAGGAGACAACTTTGGATCTGGACTCAGCATTTGGAAGTTCCGCGTACACGATGATATCTGTTGGGGGTGTCTTGGGCCTCTGAGAAGGGCGAGTGATTTTTCTCTGTGTGAAAACGCAGTGATTCAACTGTGTGTATGTCACCTCCTGAGGGTCTTGTTCATCAGAGTCCTGGAGAGAGGGAAATGCTGAGTGAGGGAGGGTGCTCACATTTTCCAGGACTCTTTGGGAATAACAGTAGCCACGAGCCCGGGCCGAGGAGTACCTACCTCGCTATTCGCTGTTCTGTTCCCTGCAGACTCTTGGTCCATTACCGCAGCATCTGTAGGAGACGGAAGTCAACAAAACAGCTCGGAGGGCACTTCTGGGTCCTCATTTCATAAGCAGATACCAACATACAGGGGGAGACCATAGGTGGCTGAGGTCCCTCAGTTGCCAACAGCAGACTCAGACATTCTATCTCTCTGAGCTCAAGGACCCATCCCATGAATAGCTCTGAGTTCCCATCCCATTGATTCTGTCTCCCACTTTCTGCCTGTCATGGAACCTTCTCCTGGATGTGAGTGGCTGCAGGGGACATGAGGATACAGTTCAGAATCAGGCAACGGTCTGTGAGTTGAAGGCAGGGGCAGGGAGTCTGGTGCCCTCTCTAGAAAGTCCTGCCTCTGTGGCTGCTGCCTTGGGCCAGGGACCATCCTGTTTGTGAGGAACACACACCTGAGTGCTCCCATCCTGCTTCCCCACATGGCCCTGAGCTCTCTGGCCTCTGCTTCGTGAGACTTACTTTTTTTGTTGGAGCACCAGCGATGAAGGAGAAAGAAGAGGAGGATGAAGAGGATGATGACCACTGAGGTCCCAATCAGAATGTGCAGGTGTCGGGGGTTACCTGGAAGAAGATGAGACACCAATAAGAAGCTAATCTTAGCAGTTCCTCTTTATGAATTGTCTCGCATTTCTTGATTGACAGGTAACCACATAAAACATCTCTTTAGGACAAGCACCCAGATGGCAGGAGACCCAGCTTTCTCCTGCTTTTTCAGTTATAGCTCTCATAGTAACCATAGAACGTGCTGAGGATACGACTACTTTAGTTGAGATGTTTGACCCCTTCAAACCTCACATTGAAATTTCACCCCCACTGTGGGAGGTTGGGCCTCTTGAGAGGTGTTTGGGTCATGGAGGTGGATCCATCATGAACACATCAATGCTGTCCCAAGGAGACGGGGTTAGCAAGTTCCCCCTCTATTAGTTCCCGGAGAGCTGGTTGTTAAAAAGAGCTTGGAAGCTCCATCACTCCCCCTCCCCCTTGCTCCCTCTCTTGCCGTGTGATCTCTGTGGTCTCTGCACAGACAGACCCTCCTTCCCTTCTGCCAGAGTGGGAGCAGCCTGAGGCCGTCACGAGAAATAGATGCTGGTGCCATGCTTCCAGTACAGCCTGCAGAACGGTGAGGCAAACCAATCTCTTTTCTTTAGAAGTTACCGAGGCTCAAGTGTTCCTTTAGAGCAACAAAAATGGCCTAAGACAGCAACTTCCTGAGATCAGGAGGAACGTCTCAGAACACCCTGGGCTGTCTTCCTGTTCTTCCTGGAGGACGTCATGCAGTGCTTTAGCTGAGTGCTTCCTGTGGCTCCAGGGTACAAAACCCAGGCTGGGCTGCTTTCTGGCTTCCCGCAGCTACACTGCAAATGGGGTGACTCCATATGTCCCGAGGAGCTTTTCTGAGCCTTGAGGGACTGGCTCACATTGAAATATAGGTTTCTGTTGTCACTCGCTGCTTATCTGTTAGTAATGAACCTGCCTATGTAACGTATTCTCTGTGTGTTCTGTCTCCCTGGAGTGACGGTGAGTGATAGGAATTGGCATAGGCCCAGGTGCAGTCCAGGAGGTGTTTAGAGTCTTCTCTGGGAAGACTGGACTGGGATTGATTCACAGCGAATGTGCTTTAGGGTTTCTACATCCACAGCATTCTTGAATCAAACAACTTGCATTCTCCAAGGAAAGAAAACAAAAGTGAAATCAAGATAAAAAAAGCGAAATAGAATTCTCTTATGTCAAACGGCCAGGAAATAGTGTTGAAGCCCGTGTGAAACCTGCTGCTCTTTGTGATCTCGGGAGACACATATTAGGCTGCTGTTCTACCCGAGAGGCTGGGGGAAGGACCACCCCCTCGGCCATCTATTGCTTCAATACCACCTGTCCTCCTGTGAATTAGTAGGAAAGGGGAGCAGGAGCTAGTGCTGTCGCTGATCTCTGATTCCAAGATCTGGACTCACTCCAAGGAGTGTTAATGTTTACCTCCCCATGGTCTACCTGAATCTCCACAGGTGATTGGAAGTAGGGGTGAGGTGGGGGATTTGGGTGAGTGGGCAAGTTTTTTTTGTGATGACCAGAGCACTTTCTCTATTCCAGGATCTGTGCTGGAGGATTCAGCGGACTTTCACATTTTCTATATGATCTCATGCTCACAGAAAGCCAAATAGGGAAGAGGTTTTAGGCTCATTGCCTAATGGATAAGATAAAGGATCAAAGAAGTAATTATAGAGAAATAGAAAAATCATGATTGGAATTCAGGTCCCTTTGTCATTTGCGTGTGTTATATTATATTTATATTTATGCATTTCTTATTTTTATTTTTTGAGACGGAGTCTCCTTGTGCCACCCAGGCTGGAGTGCAGTGATGCAACCTCCACTCACTGCAACCTCCACCTCCTGGGTTGAAGTCATTCTCCTGCTTCATCCTCCAGAGTAGGAGCTGGGATTACAGGGATGCACCACCATGCTCGGCTAATTTTTGTGTTTTTCCTAGAGACAGGGTTTCACCATGTTGGCCAGGCTGGTCTCGAACTGCTGACTTCATGTGATCCACCCGCCTTGGCCTCCTGCAGTGCTGGGTTACAGGCGTGAGCCACCGTTCACAGACTTGTATATTATGCTATAATAGGTCTCTTCATTTCCACCACCCCTCATATATCTGTCACTCCTTTGCCAGGTATTGATTTATGTGTAGGATGAATAAATCTCAGAAAGAAATTAATTAAGCGAGGATTAAACAAGTAGGAAAATCAAACCCAGCAAGCCTTTCCAGTCAATGATTCTACCTCACAAACCTATCTTATATCCATCTACTTCATTCATTTAGTGTCTAAATCAGCACCACATTTCACCAGTGGGGCGGCAATTGCCTTTTCCACGGTCTCCTAGATTCCAGTTATGCAACTGAGCCTCCCTTATTTTCATGTCAGTCATATTAATCATGTAGGGATTCCTGGCTACCCCGAGGTGAATCCAATGGCTGTGAGTGTCAAACACACACTCCTTGTTCCTCCTTAGTTTCCTGTGTACCCAGTGTGCTCTCCGTCTCTCCACAGTCATCTTGTCATTCTCCCCACATCATTCCCAGCATTTGAGGAAGAGCCTCTTCCTTCCACATCAGATTGTTTTCACCTTTGTGCCTTCACGGCTGACAGCTGTGTGTGCAAAATCCTTCCGCCAATCTTTCAGGGGTTCAATCCGTGTTTTTCATTAATGTCACAAATATCTGAATAGTGAGACCTTCTTTGTCACCTGAAATCATACACTCAGCATTATCTATTATTGATTTTGAATTCTGGCTGGGCACAGTGGCTCACGCCTGTAGTCCCATTACTTTGGCATGCTGAGACGGTCGGATCACTTGAGGTTGGGAGTTTCAGACAAGCTTGGCCAACGTGGTGAAACATCCTCTCTACAAAAAATATACAAAAAGAATTAGCCGGGCACGGTGGCAGTTGCCTGTAATCCCAGCTACTCGAGAGGCGGAGGCAGGAGAATCACTTGAATCCAGGAGAAGCAGGTTGCAGTGAGCCAAGATCGTGACACTGCACTGTAGCCTGGAAGACAGAGGGCAACTCTGTCTCAATAAACAAAAGAACAAACAAAAAATAGATTTCATGCACAGATGCTTCCCAATGGATCATTCATTTATAGATCCACTTGTGCATTCATTTTCTGCCCTCCCATTTAACCATATGCAATATCAGTGTCCCAAGGGCAGAGGCCAAATGCATCTTGTTCACTGTTTGTGGAAGGCAGGAGAATGCTGTCCCACCCCAAAATGTCCCTGTCCTAGCCTCCATACCTTGTGAATATGTTATTTTACATGGAAAGGAGGAATGAAGATTGTAGATGGAATTACGGTTGCTAATCAGCTGAACTTAAAACAAGGGTATCCTGGATGATTTCCAGGAGATTATGAGGGATTTTCATCTTGGTGAACCCAATAGAATCCCCAAGTTTTCAAAAGATAAGGAAGAAGGGAGAGCAGCATTCAGAGAAAGAGGTGTGGTAAGGAAGAAGGCACTGAGTGATGCCATGTGAGATGTGACCAGTCTTTGTGGGTTTTGAGGAAGGAGGAAGGGGACCAGGAGCCAAGGAACTGGGAGCCTTTAGAAGCTGGGACAAGTGAGAAGCAGATTCTTGCCTGGAATCCTCAGAGGGAAGGCAGCCTTGCTGTCACCTTGATTTTAGCCCAGTAAGATGCACTTCCTACTTTGAGCTACAGCACTGTAAGATAATTAAAAAACCGTTTTGTTTTCACCCACGAATCTTGTGGAAATTTGTTATGGCAACAATAGGAAAAGGTTCCGCACTGCACAGCCTGAGCATGGGGCCGTGGCTGAATGAGTCAGTGAGTCGAAGTGTGCGTGCATGAGCTCCGTTCTCTGTTACGGCAAGGCTGTTGCTCTGCTGAGTCAGCCAGGGTTGCTTCATGACCAACAGTAATTCATTCCTTGGCAAGTGGAACTTCTCTAAAACACCTCGCCCTCATCAGATGTTCCCTTCCCTTCCCTCTCTCAAGCCCCCAGGAATTTATCCTCCAGTTAGGAATGCAGGCAGAACAAACATTGCATTTTTCCTGAGAAGGATGTCAGATTGGCAATCATTCTTCTAGCTTGTAGGAGGTCTCAGCTCCATAAAATGAGAGATTAAGAGATTTCACTGAGCCCTAGGTTGGGCCCAGATCCCTTTCGCTGTTGGAGTATCTGGAGTTCGGAGATGGTAGAAGACAGGCGTACAATGTCAGAGCTGCGAGATGCTGAGTCAATGCCTGCATCGAAGGTTTCTACCTCCCCAGGTTTCCAAAAGCGGATATAAGAGGGTTCTGTACTCACCGGTTTTAGAGCTTGGTTCAGTGGGTGAAGGCCAACTATTTGAAGGGTTTCCTAGAACATGAGACAGGAGAGAGGTGAGGAAATGAGGGTGTCTGTCCTCTACTCAATGGAAATCTTTGAGGTTGGTTCATGGCCAACACTCTGTTATCTAATATTGGGCCCTGGGAGTCCTGGGATCCTTTTTTCCATAATTTTTGTATGTGACGCCCATTGTCTTGAGACTTCAAGGTATAAAGAGAAAACAGGAGCATCACACTACCTGATCTCAAAATATGTTACAGAGCTGTAGTAAGCAAGACAGCATGATGTTGGCATGAAGAAAGGCACATAGAACAATGGAGCAGAATGAACAACACAAATATAATCCATGCATTTACATCCAATGTTTTTTTCTTTTTTCTTTTGAGATGGAGTCTCGCTCTGTCACCCAGGCTGGAGTGCAGAGGTGCAATCTCGGTTCACTGCCACCACAGCCTCCTGGGTTCAATCAATTCTCTGGCCTCAAACTCCTGAGTAGTGGTATTATAGGTGCTGACCACCATGCTCAGCTAATTTATATATTTTTAGTGGAGACAATGTTTCATCACGTCGGCCAGACTAATCTTGAACTCCTGGCCTCAGGTGATCCACCCGCCTTGGGCTCCCAAAGTGCTGAAATTGCAGGTGTCAGTCACCATGCCCAGCCCATCCAATGGACTTTGACAAAGGTGCCAAGAACTCACAATCAGGAAAGGACAGTCTTTTCAATAAACAGTGCAGGGAAACCTGGACATCTACATGCAGAGGAATGAAACTGCACCTCTACCTGTCACCATACACAAAAATCAAATGAAAATGGATTAAAGATGTGAGTCTAAGGCCTGAACCTATGAAACACGTAGAAGAAAATATTGGGGAAATGCTCCAGGACATTTGTCTGAAGGAAGACATTTTGTTTTAAACCTTCAAAACACAAGTAATCGAAGCAAAAATAGACCATTGGGATTACCTCAAGCTAAGCAACTTCTGCACCGCTAAAAATAAACCAACAAAGTGAAGAGACAACCCACAGATTGGGAGCAAATATGTGCAAACTATGCATCTGAGATGGGATTAATAACTAGAAATATAAGAAGCTCAAACAACTCAATAAAACAAATGATTTAATTGAAACAGGAGCAAAAGACATGAAATTTCCCCACATACGAAAAACTGCTCAGTATCACTCATCATCAGAGAAACGCAAATTAAAATCAAAGTGAGTTTTCATCTCACCCCATTAAAATGGCTTTTAGGCCGGGCGTGGTGGCTCACGTCTGTCATCCTAGATCTTTGAGAGCCTGAGGTGGGTGAATCTCATAAGGTCGGGAGTTTGAGACCAGTCTGACCCACATGGAGAAACACTGTCTCTACTAAAAATACAAAAATTAGTCGGGCGTGGTGGCGTGTGCCTGTAATTCCAGCTACTCGGGAGGCTGAGGCAGGAGAATCGCTTGAACCTGGGAGGTGGAGGTTGTGGTGAGCCGAGATCGCACCACTGCACTCCAGCCTGGGTGACAAGAGCGAAACTCCATCTCAAAATAAAATGAAATAAAGTAAAATGGCTTTTAGCTGCAAGACAGGCAAAGGAAATCCTGCCAAAGTGGTAGAGAAAGGAGAACCCTAATACCCTGTTGGTAGGAGTGTAAATTAGTACAGCCTTTACGGAGAAAAGTGTGGAAGTCCTTTAAAGAACTAAAAAGAGGTTGGGTGAGGTGGATCATGCCTGTAATCCCGGCACTTTGGGAGACCGAGGCGGACACCTCAGTTGAGGTCATGAGTTTGAGAGCAGCCCAGCCAACATGGGGAAACCCCATCTATACTAAAAAAACCAAAAAGTAGCCAGGCATGGTGGCGTGCACCTGTAATCCCAGCTACTAGGGAGGCTGAGGTAGGAAAATCATTTGAACCCAGGAGGCAGAGGTTGCAATGAGCCAAGATGACATCACTTGTACTCCAGCCTGGGCACAGAGGGAAACTGTCTCAAAAACAAAAACAAAACAACAAACGAATAACTAAAAAGAGAACTTTCATAGTATCCAGCAATTTCACTACTGGGTTTATATCCAAAGGAAAGTAAATCAATATATCGAAGTGATATCTGCACTCGTATGATTGGTGCAGCACTGTTCACAGTAGCCAAGATGTGGAGTCAACCTACCTGCCCATCAGTGGATGAATGGATAGAGAGAATGTAGTACATACGCACAGTGGAGACTACTCATCCATAGAAAGAATAACATCCTGATATTTGCAGCCACATGGATGGAACTGCAAGTCATTACAAAGATTCCCATTTCTCACCCATATACAGAGCTAAAAGGTGGATCTCATGAAGGTAGAGAGTAGAATGGTGGCTTCCAGAGGCCAGGAAGAAAAGGGTGGAGGGTAAAAAAAAAAATATATATATATATATATATATATATATATATATATATATATATATATATATACACATATATATATGTATATATATGTGTGTGTATATATATATACATACATATATATATATATATATTTATAAATGTATTTATGACCACTAGACTTTACACTTAAAAATGGTAAATGTGGCTGGGAGTGGTGGCTCATGCCTGTAATCCCAGCACTTTGGGAGGCAGATGCGGGTGGATCACGTGGTCAGGAGTTGGAGACCAGCTCGACCAACATGGTGAAACCACCTCTCTACTAAAAATACAAAAAGTAGCCTGGCGTGGTGGTGCGCGCCTGTAGCACCAGCTACTCAGGTGGCTGAGGCAGGAGAATCACTTGAACCCAGGAGGCGGAAGTTGCAGTGAGCTGAGATTGTGCCACTGCACTGCAGCATAGGGGACAGAGCTAGACTCTGCCTCAAAAAAAAAAAAAATGTTAAAGGTGGTAAGCTATATAGGTATATTTATCCTCAATAAATATTTCTTCAAACAAAAGTAAAGGGTGTAGGGGTTGCTGGTGATGACATCCCTGTGTGGGTGAGAGGCCAGGATGGGCTTCTGGGAAATGGGTAATGTTGAGGGGCTGAGGGAACCTCTGATCTTCCCAAACTGAGCCCAGTCTCCCTCCTCTGGGTCTCTCCTGACCGCTTTCTCCATCTGCCTGTGTGCCTGGAGCCCTGGCCGCGGGCCTTCATGCAGGCCGTGTAGGAGGGTTTGGAGGTGCCCTGTCTGCCATCCTGTGCCCTGATCCCTCCCTCACACCCAAGCTTCGTCTTCTCTCTGCATCTGTCCATGCTTATCTCCATCATCAGCAGGAAGCTCCTCAGCTAAGGCTCTAGGATCATAGGACATGAGACAGATATGGGGTTTCCTCACCTATGACAGAAACAAGCAGTGGGTCACTCGAGTTTGACCACTCGTATGGAGAGTCACGGAAAGAGCCGAAGCATCTGTAGGTTCCTCCGTGGGTGGCAGGGCCCAGAGGAAAGTCGGCCTGGAATGTTCCGTTGACCTTGGGCCCTGCAGAGAACCTACATTCATGGGCCTCCCCCTCCCTGGATAGATGGTACATGTCATAGGAGCTCCGGGAGCTGCAGGACAAGGTCACGCTCTCTCCTGCCAGAACCGTGGGGCCCGGCTGGGCTGAGAGAGAAGGTTTCTCATATAGACCTGGAAGGAGAAGAGGCATTTTCCTCAGGGAGGATCTTCCTTGTCACAGCTCCCTTCACCTGAGCTGAGAACTCACTCCCCTGCTCTATGACCTAATGCTCTCTCTCTCTCTCTCTCACCCTCCACCCCATCTCTCTTCATATCTATTTCCTTCTTCCACCTTCTCTGTCTCTCTAGGTCTCTGACCTCGCTTCCCCACCTCTAGATATGTTTTCCGTTTTTGGATTGTTTTATTCTCTCTGACTCTCCTTGGGTTGGTTGACTTGATGTTACTTTTTTAAATTCTAAGTTTCTCACGTTGTGTCCTGTTCATAACTTTCTGCATATTTCTATCTATTATCTGTCGATCTATCTATTTATCTATTCGGTGCCTATCTACAAATTCTCTACCTGTCATCTATATCTATATATCATCTATGTATCTATCAGTTGTCTATCTATCCATCAATCATCTGTTATTTATATGTATGTATCATCTCTCTCTCTATGATTTCTGTCTGCCTCTCTATCTGTACGTATTATCTGTCTTCATCATCATCATCTCTATGTATTATCTATTAATGAATCAATCAATCATCATCTATGTATCTTTAACCTATTATCTATCATCTACCTATTTATCATCTATCTATATCTATCCATCTATCATCTGTATTGCTCTGCCTCTCGGTCTCTCTAGCTCTCTTTGGAATCTCTGCAATTCATCCCCACATCTCCATGTTTCTATGTCCTTGTGCCTCTCTCTCAGGACTCTAATTTTAGTGCTTTTCTCTGCTCCCTGCCATCATTCTCACCACTCCTCTGCCCTCTTTTCTCTCTCTTTATGTGTCTGTGAGTCTCTCAATCTCCTTCCTCTGGCTCATTCTCCGTGTGTTTATGTCTTTGCTTTTTGGTGTTCCTGATTTTTCTCTGTGCCTCTCAGTGATCCTTTCATATGTGGGGTTATTTGGAATGTGAGCCTCAGAATCCAGTCTGGAGACCACAAGTTCACACAGCATACAGGGGTTGGTGTTCTGGGGCCATGATATCCTGGGACGGTTACTCTCCATTACATGGAAGGCAGAGGTGTCAGAATAAACATGGCCTGTAGGTGCCACAAGGCCTGAGGCCACAGGGCCCAACTCAGGTCAGAAATATGGGTGTCCTTGGGTTCTCCTGGTAGAGAACACTTTGTGGAGGTAAAACAGAAATGAAACTTCTAACCTGTGCCAGGTCTGTGAGCAAAGTCAGCATGGAGGGACACCTCTCTCTGGGACATGTCTGTCTGTCTGTCTCTTTTAACTCTTTCTGTCTTTTCTAACTCCCTGTATGGCCCCTGTGTCTGTCCTCCGTTATGACACCTGGTCTGTACTTGTGTCTCCTGTTTCTCTGTCTCTGTTGGTACAAACCTCAGCAAGTCAGTCTCTCTCCATAAGAATACCAAGCTCATCTTCCTTACAACTACCTGGGGGTTCCAAGTCGTGGATCATTCACTCTGCAGCCCAATGACAATGAGAATGTCCGGACACTCTCACCTGTGATGACGATGTCCAGAGGGTCACTGGGAGCTGACAACTGATAGGGGGAGTGAGTAACAGAACCGTAGCATCTGTAGGTCCCTGCAAGGTCTTGCATCATGGGACCGATGGAGAAGTTGGCTTTGGAGACCCCATCATGGTGCTCTCCAATGAGGTGCAAAGTGTCCTTAAACTTCCCTTCTCTGTGCAGAAGGAAGTGCTCAAACCTGACATCTGACCAACATTGCAGGATGACTGTCTCTTCTGATTTCACCAGGCGACCTGGGTGGGCCAGGAGGGAAGGTTTTCTGTGGACTCCTAGGAAGAGAGGTTGTGAGTTTAGAAGGTGTCTCTCTTTATCATCCCATCCATGGCACCTAGAATGAGTGAGGCTTCCCCTTGCTGGTGTCTGTCTCTCTCCTTCCTCTCTGTGTCTTCATGTTCTTTTCTGTGCCCTTAACTCCTGGTGCAGGTCCTTCCATCTGTCTCCCTCCCTCTTCTCTGTCCCTCTGTCTCTAGTAGCCTCTGATTCCCTTCCCACTGGGCTTAGCCTCATCTCTTGGGGTGTTGTATCTATTTCACACTAATGTCTTTCCTGCTGTTTATGTGGGGGTGAAAGAGGAACCAGGATAGGCTGCACATCCAGGCTCTTATCAGCCTGGTTCAATCTCTTTTGGATGAATTGCAATCCTTGGCAGAAGATATGAACTGATGAATAAGGCAGGCACCAGTGTCCACACACCCTGTTCCTGGTGGGGACTGGGAGCCACTCTTGCCATGCCTGTGCCTTCTCCATGGTGCCAGCTTCCATAGGCTGGCTCCTGGTGCTGGTTGGAGGAGTATCAACCCCTCCCTATGTGGATGGAGCCTGGTGGTGGCATCATCATCCCACCCTTGCTGATCTCAGGGTAGCCAACCTTCTCCTTCTTTGGTTTCTTTAATTAATTAATTAATTTTGGAGACAGAGTCTCACTCCTTCACCCAGGCTGGAGTGAAGTGGTGTGGTCTAGGCTCACTGCAACCTCTGTTTCCTGGGTTCAAGTGATTCTCCTGCCCTCAGCCTCCTGAGTCGCTAGGATTACATGCACCTGCCACCATGCCTGGCTTTCCTTGGGTTGTTTCTTAACTTGTCCTTGACCTGGGTTCCAGTGTTGGTTTCCTGTTGCTGCTGTACAAAATTATCAGAAGCATGGAAGCAGGAGAGACCACACTGACACCTTCCAGTACTGGAGACAGAAATTGGACCCTATTTTTCCTGGGCTAAAATCAAGGCATCTGCAGGGCTTTGTTCCCTCTGGAGACTCTGGAGAATCAGTTCCTTGACTTTTCCAGCCTCTATAGGCCACCTGCATTCATGGCTCTTGGCCTTCCTCCACCTTCAAAGCTGGTGAAGACTTCCACTGGACTGCTCTAATCCCCACTCCCCTCTTCCTCCTCCTTTCATGTGCACCCTTGTGATTACACTGAGCCCAGTGGGACAGTCCAGGCTGTCTCCCCATGAGCTCCATCTTCCCCTTCAGTCCCTTCCCCTATAACATACATAGTCACAGACTCCAGGGATTAGAATGTAGTCATCACTGGGGACAATTATTCTTCCCACCACAGCACCCATTTCCCTGTATTCAATCCCCCTTTACCACAAATACAGTCAGGGCCTGCGTGATGGGACCCTCAAGGACATGCCCACCAGAAGCTCTGGGATTCAGGAGGTGGGACAAGGAGAATCCAAGACAGGAGCCCTCTGACCTATGACCACGATCACCAGGGGGTTGCTGGGTGCTGACCACCCACTGGGGGAGTGTGTGTGTGAACCCCGACATCTGTATGTCCCTGTTGTGCGGGGGTCACAGGGCCCATGAAAAGGCTGTTCCAGAATATTCTGTTGTAGAGCTCAGGGACAGGCACCCCACCTTCCTTGTACAGACTGAAGTTGTTAAACCCAAGATAAGAGTGACACCGAAGAATGACATGTCCTAGAGGCACCACAAGGCTGGGCCAGGCAGACAGCAAGGGCTTGTCCTGACCACCTTGGGGAGAAGGAGGCGCCGCCTTAGAGAGGAGGATGTGGAACTGCCCCTCCCTCCCTGTGCTCAGAAGATTCTCCTCGCTTTCCACGTTTCTATGGCTACTATCACACCTTGGTGCCCAGGGCTGAAGGAAGGACCCATCCCGCAAAGACATGGTGTCTCCCTACAACAAAAGCCTCAGCTGAGAACTTTGAGCAAGTGCTGAGTAAAGAGACTCCTACTAGATTTTGATACTGTAAGATTACTCACATAAAACAACACAGGGTAGACATGAGGTGGAGGGCATGTCCTTTGTGAATGGATATCAGCGGATGCCTGAACGAAAATAAACAACTGAGCCCCCATCAGAGGATTTGGAATGTCAGGGCCATGGCTGTGGTTTCCCACCTCTTCTGGTAGAATGACAGCAGCCACACTGCAGCCCCTACCATCATGGAAACGCTGAAGTGTGTGAGTAACACCTTTGTCCTCAGAGGATCTGCTGTTCCTACCACTTCCCAACCACACACCCCAGCTTTGAGCACCCCAGTCTAACCCTGGTCCCCACAGAACTTGACTCTGCCAAGGGGTTGAGAGGCCAGGGAGGCGAGGTCAGAAATGTGGGCTGAGCACCCCAGGGTCCTCTCTTCCTAGTTTATGAGAGACTCCCCGACAGGACTTCCCTCCTGTTTCAGGAAAATCCTCTTATGTGGGGAGATGACACCCGAAGGTTTGGAGAAGGACTCACCCTCATGTGGCCAGGCCCCCTGCAGCAAGAAGAACCCTGGAAAGAAAGATCATGATGGACGATCCATCTGCAGGCGAACCAGCCCTCCCTTGCTGCCCCCACTGGGCTGTGAGTCTTGGCAGCCAGGCCCTTCCTGGGCTGAAGTTAAACTCACCCTCAGTGCCTACCTGCACCCAAGAACAGGGCTGTCGGCTGTGCAGAGACCCAGTTTCCAGGCCCATATCCCCACCCCAAGCCCATATCTCCACTCCAGGCTGATATTTCCACCCTAGGCCCATATCGCCAATCCAGGCTCAGATCTCCACCCTAGGCCCCTATCTCCAATCCAGTCCCATATCTCCGCCCCAGGCCCAGAACTCCACCCTAAGCCCATATCTCCACTCCAGGCCCATATCACCTCTCCAGTCCCATATCTCCACACCCAGGCCCATATCTCCTTCCTAGGCCCATATCTCCACTCCAGGCCCAGATATCCACCTCTAGGCCCATAACTCCACTCCTGGCCCATATCTCCACTCCAGGCCCATATCTCTACTGCAGGCCCGTATCTCCACCTCCAGACCCATATCTCCACTCCAGGCCCATATCTCCACCTCCAGGCCCATATCTCCACCTCCAGGCCCATATCTCCACTTCAGGCCCATATCTCCACTCCAGGCCCATATCTCCACTCCAGGCCCCTATCTCTACTGCAGGCCCATATCTCCATCTCCAGGCCCATATCTCCATCTCCAGGCCCATGTCTCCACTACAAGCCCATATCTCTACTGCAGGCCCATATCTCAACCTCCAGGCCCATATCTCCACTCCAGGCCCAGATCTCCACTTCTAGGCCCATCACTCCATCTCTAGGCCCATAACTCCACTTCCAGGCCTATATCTCCAACTCTGGGCCCCGATCTCCATCCCCGCACTCCCTCCCTCGATTCCCTTCCAGGACTCACCAACACACGCCATGCTGACGACCATGAGCGACATGGTGCTGTCTGTGCAGACAGGCGGCCGCGCCCCAGCTCAGCTCAGCAGCGCACAGGATGTTATTTGGCGCCCTGCCCATGCAGTTTACATGTTGACCACATCATGGGAGGGTGACGTACGCAGGCTCTTTCTACCTTGCATGAGGCCCAGTGGGTGCTCGCTCAAGAGCGGAACATGGCTTCCTGGAAATTGTTCTCACTAGAATTGACACCTTGCGTCCTTCACTACGACCAGACTCAAAAGACGTCTCAGATCCAACCTCTCATACACGAGATGATTGAATTCTGTGCTTACATTAAAGATTTTTGATGTATTTTTGTTTTTATCTGAGATTCAAACTCTTCTTCATATGTAATGTGCAAAATGTCTAACAGGTATTATTAACATTATCAGAGTAATTGTGACAAGAAGCCATTCTAATTTTCCTGCTTGAGTTTCTAGTACTAAACCAGAGGCATCAGAATAGCTTGAACCTGGGAGGCGGAGGTTGCAGTGAGCTGAGCTCAAGCCACTGAACTCCAGCTTGGGTGACAGAGGAAGAGTCTGTCTCAAGAAAAAAAAAAAAGCAAACTAAATAACCTATAATAACAAATCAGAGGACTCAGGTTACCAAATTTTAAGGGGTTCTATAAGTTTATATAAAATGCAGCATCCTCATGAGAGGGGATACAGAGAACCACTGGACAGAAAACTGTGTCTAAAATACATCTGTGGATACACAGTCCCTTTATAGTTGACAAAGGCTGCCATGTAGTTTAAGGTGGAATAGAATATTTTCTCAACAAATAACACAGGACCATAGGGTTACACGTAGGAAAAAATAAATCTAAACTTATCCTCACACTATAAAAACACTTCTTATTTTTTATCTTGTTGTTGTAAATTTTTTATGCTTTATTTTTAAGATTGACAAATAAAAATTATATACCATGGTCCTTCACTATACCTGGGTGATTGGTTCCAGGATCCCCATTCAGATACCAAAATCTGCAGATGCTCAAGCCCCTTGCATGAAATGGCATAGTGAAGCTGGGCACCGTGGCTCACGCCCGTAATCCCAGCACTTTGGGAGGCTGAGCTGGGTAGATCACAAGGTCAGGAGTTCAAGACCAGCTGGTCCAACATTCTGAAACCCCGTCTCTACTAAAAATACACACACAAAAAAATTTATCTGTGCATGGTGGCACGTGCCTGTAATCCTAGGGGAGGCTACTGGGGAGGCTGAGGGAAGACAATCGCTTGAACCTGGGAGGCGGAGGTTGCAGTGAGTTGAGATCACGCCACTGCACTCCAGCCTGGGTGAGAGAGTGAGACTGTCTCAAAAAAAAAAAATAGCATAGCAATTGCATAGAACCCATGCACATCCTCCTGTATACATGAAATCATCTCTTGATTACTTATAATTCCTGACACAGCCTACACGCCACTCAATTTGTGTCGATTCAACATAGTTTTTTGCTTCTTGAAACTTCGGGGATTTTTTTCTCAAAATATTTTTGATTTATTGTTGGTTCAATAAACACCTGTAAACCCCACAGATATGGAGGACCGACTGTATATTTATATTATGAAAGATGATATGTTGATATGTGTCCCCGTGGAGATGAGACTAACAAGGCCTATGACTCTACAAATGTTTCATCGTGGAATGACTCTGCCAGCTTTCCAGGTCTGCAGAGAGTAAGAATATCACTTGTTCATGTGATTCACGATCCTTGGAGCCTCCTATGTGCTGTATCTTTGGATGGAAATTGGAGTCTCAGAGACAATTCAGGCTCCATTCTGCTTCCAGAAGCTCAGAGTCCAGGGCTGAGAACCCAATGGAGAACAGATGGGGTTATGTGGACATGGTAATGATAACACCGGAAGCCTTAGGCAAGAGAAGAGTCTCGTTACCGAAACCATGAGGGCAGACATGTTTATTTGAAGGCGGGAAAACTACATTGAAATTATTTAAAAAATTTATAAGTTTTACTGCTGGCAGAAGGCTGAAAGATAGTCTGAAGGGAGGTGGAACAGCACGTGTCTAAGTGCTGTGTTAAGAGGGAGCCTCTTGTATGTTTGGAATTGTGAGTTCCTCAGTGTGATTGCAGCCTCAGGTAGACTAGGAAGTAAGCTAGTTAGGTTGGAGAGGTGGGCAGGGGTCAAGTGAAATGGAGAATTGTGGGCTAAGCAAAGGAGTGTGTTTTCTCTCCAGCAGGCAGTGGGGACCTTAGACATTTGTAAGCAAGAGAGAGGCATGTTCAGATTCGTGGTGTGAGGAAGAGCGATGCCCTAAGATGAAGACTGATGCCTTCAGATTCCAGCTGCTGGTACATGGGAGCTGGCAACCCGGTTTTGAGACAGGGCTGTTGTCTCCCTAGAAGATCCCCTCAAGGCCTGACTGTGGTGCTCGTGGACAGAAGACAACTTTGGATCTGGGCTCAGCATTTGGAAGTTCTATGTACATGCTGGTATCTGTTGGGGGTGTCTTGGGCCTCTCAGAAGGGCGAGTGATTTCTCTCTGTGTGAAAACACAGTGATCCAATTATGCGTATGACACCTCCTGATGGTCTTGTTCATCAGAATCCTGGAGAGAGGGAAATGCTGAGTGAGGGAGGGTGCTCACATTTTTCAGGACTCTTTGGGAATAAGACTAGCCACGAGGCTGGGCCGAGGAGCACCTACCTCGCTGTTCACTGTTCTGTTCCCTGCAGGCTCTTGGTCCATTACAGCAGCATCTGTAGAAGACGGAAGTCAACAAAAGAGCTCGGAGGGCACTTCTGGGTCCTCATTTCATAAGCAGATACCAACAAACAGGGGGAGGCCATAGGTGCCTGAGGTCCCTCAGTTGCCAACAGCAGACTCAGACATTCTATCTCTCTGAGTTCAAGGACCCATCCCATGAATAGCTCTGAGTTCCCATCCCATTGATTCTATCTCCCACTTTCTGCCTGTCATGGAACCTTCTCCTGGATGTGAGTGGCTGCAGGGGACGTGAGGGTACAGTTCAGAATCAGGCAACGGTCTGTGAGCTGAAGGCAGGGGAAGGGAATCTGGTGCTCTCTCTAGAAAGTCCTGCCTCTGTGGCTCCTGTCTTGGGCCAGGGACCATCCTGCTGGTGAGGAACACACACCTGAGTGCTCCCATCCTGCTTCCCCACATGGCCCTGAGCTCTCTGGCCTCTGCTTCGTGAGACTTACTTTTTTTGTTGGAGCACCAGCGATGAAGGAGAAAGAAGAGGAGGATGGTGAAAGGGATTTTGACCACTGAGGTCCCAATCAGAACATGCAGGTGTCTGGGGTTACCTGGAAGAAGAGGAGACACCAATAAGAAGCTAATCATAGCAGTTCCTCTTTATGAATTGTCTCGCATTTCTTGATTGGCAGGTAACCACATACAACGTCTCTTTAGGACAAGCACCCAAATGGCGGGAGACCTAGCTTTCCCCTGCTTTCTCAATTATAGCTCTCATAGTAACCATAGAACGTGCTGAGGATACAACTACTTTAGTTGAGATGTTTGACCCCTTCAAACCTCACATTGAAATTTCACCCCCATTGTGGGAGGTTGGGCCTCTTCAGAGGTGTTTGGGTCATGGAGGTGGATCCATCATGAACAGATCAATGCTGTCCCAAGGAGACGGGGTTAGCAAGTTCCCCCTCTGTTAGTTCCTGGACAGCTGGTTGTTAAAAAGAGCTTGGAAGCTCCATTGCTCCCTCTCCCCCTTACTCTCTCTCTTGCCGTGTGATCTCTGTGGTCTCTGCACAGACAGACCCTCCTTCCCTTCTGCCAGAGTGGGAGCAGCCTGAGGCCATCACGAGAAATAGATTCTGGTGCCATGCTTCCAGTACAGCCTGCAGAACTGTGAGGCAAACCGATCTCTTTTCTTTAGAAGTTACCGAGGCTCAAGTGTTCCTTCAGAGCAACAAAAAAAAAAACTAAGACAGCAACGACCTGAGATCAGGAGGAATGTCTCAGAACAGCCTGGGCTGTCTTCCTGTTCTTCCTGGAGGAAGGCGTCATGCAGTGCTTTAGCTGAGTGCTTCCTGTGGCTCCAGGGTACAAAACCCAGGCTGGGCTGCTTTCTGGCTTCCCCCAGCTACACTGCAAATGGGGTGACTCCATATGTCCCGAGCAGCTTTTCTGAGCCTTGAGGGACTGGCTCACATTGAAATGTAGGCTTCTGTTGTCACTCGCTGCTTATCTGTTAGTAATGAACCTGCCTGTGTAATGTATTCTCTGTGTGTTCTGTCTCCCTGGAGTGACGGTGAGTGATAGGAATTGGCATAGGCCCAGGTGCAGTCCAGGAGGTGTTTAGAGTCTTCTCTGGGAAGACTGCACTGGGATTGATACACAGCGACTGTGCTTTAGGATTTCTACATCCACGGCATTCTTGAGTCAAACAACTTGCATTCTCCAAGAAAAGGAAACAAAAGTGAAATCAAGATAAAAAAAGCGAAGTAGAATTCTCTTATGTCAAATGGCCAGGAAACAGTGTTGAAGCCCATGTGAAACGTGCTACTCTTTGTGATCTCAGGAGACACATGTTAGGTTGCTGTTCTACCCGAGAGGCTGGGGGAAGGACCACCCCCTCGGCCATCTATTGCTTCAATACCACCTGTCCTCCTGTGAATTAGTAGGAAAGGGGAGCAGGAGCTACTGCTGACGCTAATCTCTGATTCCAAGATCTGGACTCACTCCAAGGAGTATTAGAATTTACCTCCCCATGGCCTATCTGAATCTCCACAGATGATTGGAAGTAGGGGTGAGGTGGGGGATTTGGGTGAGAGGGCATGTTTTCTTGTGATGAACAGAGCACTTTGTGTATTCCAGGATCTGTGCTGGAGGATTCAGCGGGCTTTCACATTTTCTATATGATCTCATGCTCACAGAAAGCCAAATAGGGAAGAGGTTTTAGGCTCATTGCCTAATGGATAAGATAAAGGATCAAAGAAGTAATTATAGAGAAATAGAAAAATCATGATTGGAATTCAGGTCCCTTTCTCATTTGCATGTGTTATATTATATTTATATTTATGCATTTCTTATTTTTATTTTTTGAGACGGAGTCTCCTTGTGTCACCCAGGCTGGAGTGCAGTGATGCAATCTCCACTCACTGCAACCTCCACCTCCTGGGTTGAAGTCATTCTCCTGCTTCATCCTCCAGAGTAGGAGCTGGGATTACAGGGATGCACCACCATGCTCGGCTAATTTTTGTGTTTTTCCTAGAGACAGGGTTTCACCATGTTGGCCAGGCTGGTCTCGAACTGCTGACTTCATGTGATCCACCCGCCTTGGCCTCCTGCAGTGCTGGGTTACAGGCGTGAGCCACCGTTCACAGACTTGTATATTATGCTATAATAGGTCCCTTCATTTCCACCACCCCTCATATATCTGTCACTCCTTTGCCAGGTATTGATTTATGTGTAGTAGGAATAAAGCTCAGAAAGAAATTAAGCGAGGATTAGACAACTAGGAAAATCATACCCAGCAAGCCTTTCCAGCCAATGATTCCACCTCACAAGCATAGCTTATATCCATCTGCTTCACCCAGTTAGGGTCTAAATCAGCACCACATTTCACCAGTGGGGCGGGAATTGCCTTTTCCACAGTCTCCTAGATTCCAGTTATGCACCTGGGCCTCCCTTATTTTCATGTCAGTCACTATTAATCATGTAGGGATTCCTGGCTACCCCGAGGTGAATCCAATGGCTGTGAGTGTCAAACACACACTCCTTGTTGCTCCTTAGTTTCCTGTGTACCCAGTGTGCTCTCCGTCTCTCCACAGTCGTCTTGTCATTCTCCCCACCTCATTCCCAGCATTTGAGGCAGAGCCTCTTCCTTCCACATCAGATTGTTTTCAGCTTTCTGCCTTCACGGCTGACAGCTGTGTGTGGAAAATCCTTCCGCCAATCTTTCAGGGGTTCAATCCGTGTTTTTCATTAATGTCACAAATATCTGATTAGTGAGATCTTCTCTGTCACCCAAAATCATACACTCAGCATTATGTATTATTTATTTTAAATTCTGGCTGGGCACAGTGGCTCACGCCAGTTATCCCAGTACTTTAGGATGCTGAGACGGTCGGATCACTTGAGGTTGGGAGTTTCAGAGAAGCTTGGCGAAGATGGTGAAACATCCTCTACAAAAAATATACAAAAAGAATTAGCCGGGCATGGTGGCAGTTGCCTGTAATCCCAGCTACTTGAGAGGCTGACGCAGGAGAATCACTTGGATCCAGAAGGTGCAGGTTGCAGTGAGCCAAGATGGTGACACTGCACTGTAGCCTGGAAGACAGAGGGAGACTCTGTCTCAATAAACAAATGAAGAAACAAACAAATAGATTTCATACACAGATGCTTCCCAATGGATCATTCATTTATTGGTCCACTTGTGCATTCATTTTCTGCCCTCCCATTTAACCATCTGCAATATCAGTGTCCAAAGAGCAGAGGCCAAATGCATCTTGTTCACTGTTTGTGGAAGGCAGGAGAATGCTGTCCCACCCCAAAATGTCCCTGTCCTAGCCTCCATAGCTTGTGAATATCTTATTTTACATGGAAAGGAGGAATGAAGATTGCAGATGGAATTATGGTTGCTAATCAGCTGAACTTAAAACAAGGGTATCCTGAATGATTTCCGGGAGATTATGATGGATTTTCATCTTGGTGAACCCAATAGAATCCCCAAGTTTTCAAAAGATGAGGAAGAAGGGAGAGCAGCATTCAGAGAAAGAGGTGTGGTAAGGAAGAAGGGTCTGAGTGATGCCATGTGAGATGTGACCAGTCTTTGTGGGCTTTGAGGAAGGAGGAAGGGGACCAGGAGCGAAGGAATGTGGGAGCCTCTAGAAGCTGAGAAAAGTGAGAAGCAGATTCTTGCCTGGAATCCTCAGAGGGAAGGCAGCCTTGCTGTCACCTTGATTTTAGCCCAGTGAGATGCACTTCATACTTTGAGCTACAGCACTGTAAGATAATTAAAAAACCGTTTTGTTTTCACCCACGAATCTTGTGGAAATTTGTTATGGCAACAATAGGAAAAGCTTCCACAGTGCACAGCCTGAGCATGGGGCCGTGGCTGAATGAGTCAGTGAGTCGAAGTGTGCGTGCATGAGCTCTGTTCTCTGTTACAGCAAGGCTCTTTCTCTGCTGAGTCAGCCAGGGTTGCTTCATGACCTATAGGAGCTCATTCCTTGGCAAGTGGAACTTCTCTAAAACACCTCGCCCTCATCAGATGTTCCCTTCCCTTCCCTCTCTCAAGTCTCCAGGAATTTATCCTCCAGTTAGGAATGCAGGCAGAACAAACATTGCATTTTTCCTGAGAAGGATGTCAGATTGGCAATCATTCTTCTAGCTTGTAGGAAGTCTCAGCTCCATAAAATGAGAGATGAAGAGATTTCACTGAGCCCTGTGTTGGACCCAGATCCCTTTCGCTGTAGGAGTATCTGGAGTTCGGAGATGGTGGAAGACAGGGGTACAATGTCAGAGCTGTGAGATGCTGAGTCAACGCCTGAATCCAAGGTTTCCACCTCCCCAGGTTTCCAAAAGCGGATATAAGAGGGTTCTGTACTCACCGGTTTTGGAGCTTGGTTCAGTGGGTGAAGGCCAACTATTTGAAGGGTTTCCTAGAACATGAGACAGGAGAGAGGTGAGGAAATGAGGGTGTCTGTCCTCTACTCAGTGGAAATCTTTGAGGATGGTTCATGGCCAACACTCTGTTATCTAATATTGGGCCCTGGGAGTCCTGGGATCCTTTTTTCCATAATTTTTTTATGTGACGCCCACTGTCTTGAGACTTCAAGGTATAAAGAGAAAACAGGAGCATCACACTACCTGATCTCAAAATATGTTACAGAGCTGTAGTAAGCAAAACAGCATGACATTGGCATAAAGAAAGGGACATAGAACAACGGAGCAGAATGAATAACACAGATATATTCCATGCATTTACATCCAATGGTTTTTTATTTTTTCTTTTGAGATGGAGTCTTGCTCTGTCACTCAGGCTGGAGTGCAGAGGTGCAATCTCAGTTCACTGCAACCTCAGCCTCCTGGGTTCAATCATTCTCTTGCCTCAAACTCCTGAGTAGTGGTATTACAGGTGCTGACCACCATGCTCAGCTAATTTTTATATTTTTAGTGGAGACGATGTTTCATCACGTCGTCCAGACTGATCTTGAACTCCTGGCCTCAGGTAATCCACCCGCCTCGGCCTCCCAAAGTGCTGAAATTGCAGGTGTCAGCCACCAAGCCCAGCCCATCCAATGGACTTTGACAAAGGTGCCAAGAACTCACAATCAGGAAAGGACAGTCTTTTCAATAAACAGTGCAGGGAAACCTGGACATCGACATGCAGAGGAATGAAACTGCACCTCTACCTGTCACCATACACAAAAATCAAATGAAAATGGATTAAAGATGTGAGTCTAAGGCCTGAACCTATGAAACACGTAGAACAAAATATTGGGGAAATGCTCCAGGACATTTGTCTGAAGAAAGACATTTTGTTTTAAACCTTGAAAACACAAGTAATCGAAGCAAAAATAGACCATTGGGATTACCTCAAACTAAGCAACTTCTGCACTGCTAAAAATAAACCAACAAAGTGAAGAGACAACCCACAGATTGGGAGCAAATATGTGCAAACTATGCATCTGAGATGGGATTAATAACTAGAAATATAAGAAGCTCAAACAACTCAATAAAACAAATGATTTAATTGAAAAAGGAGCAGAAGACATGAAATTTCCCCACATACTAAAAAGTGCTCAGTATCACTCATCATCAGAGAAACGCAAATTAAAATCAAAGTGAGTTTTCATCTCACCCCATTAAAATGGCTTTTAGGCCGGGCGTGGTGGCTCACGTCTGTCATCCTAGAACTTTGAGAGCCTGAGGTGGGTGAATCTCATAAGGTCAGGAGTTTGAGACCAGTCTGACCCACATAGAGAAACACTGTCTCTACTAAAAATACAAAAATTAGTCGGGCGTGGTGGAGTGTGCCTGTAATTCCAGCTACTCGGGAGGCTGAGGCAGGAGAATCGCTTGAACCTGGGAGGTGGAGGTTGTGGTGAGCCGAGATAGCGCCACTGCACTCCTGCCTGGGTGAGAAGAGCAAAACTCCATTCAAAATAAAATGAAATAAAATAAAATGGCTTTTAGCTGCAAGACAGGCAAAAGAAATGCTGGCAAGGTGGTAGAGAAAGGAGAACCCTGGTACCCTGTTGGGAGGAGTGTAAATTAGTACAGCGATTACGGAGAAAAGTATGGAAGTCCTTTAAAGAACTAAAAAGAGGTTGGGTGTGGTGGATCAGGCCTGTAATCCCAGCACTTTGGGAGACTGAGGCGGGCATCTCAGTTGAGGTCATGAGTTTGAGAGCAGCCCAGCCAACATGGGGAAACCCCATCTATACTAAAAAAAACAAAAAGTAGCCAGGCATGGTGGCGTGCACCTGTAATCCCAGCTACTAGGGAGGCTGAGGCAGGAAAATCATTTGAACCCAGGAGGCAGAGGTTGCAATGAGCCAAGATGACATCACTTGTACTCCAGCCTGGGCACAGAGGGAAACTGTCTCAAAAACAAAAACAAAACAACAAACGAAAAACTAAAAAGAGAACTTTCATAGTATCCAGCAATTTCACTACTGGGTTTATATCCAAAGGAAAGTAAATCAATATATCGAAGTGATATCTGCACTCGTATGATTGGTGCAGCACTGTTCACAGTAGCCAAGATGTGGAGTCAACCTACCTGCCCATCAGTGGATGAATGGATAGAGAGAATGTAGTACATACGCACAGTGGAGACTACTCATCCATAGAAAGAATAACATCCTGATATTTGCAGCCACATGGATGGAACTGGAAGTCATTACAAAGATTCCCATTTCTCACCCATATACAGAGCTAAAAGGTGGATCTCATGAAGGTAGAGAGTAGAATGATGGCTTCCAGAGGCCAGGAAGAAAAGGGTGGAGGGTAAAAAAAAAAAAAAAATATATATATATATAAATGTATTTATGACCACTAGACTTTACACTTAAAAATGGTAAATGTGGCTGGGCGTGGTGGCTCATGCCTGTAATCCCAGCACTTTGGGAGGCACATGCGGGTGGATCACGTGGTCAGGAGTTGGAGACCAGCTCGACCAACATGGTGAAACCACCTCTCTACTAAAAATACAAAAAGTAGCCTGGCGTGGTGGTGCGCGCCTGTAGCACCAGCTACTCAGGTGGCTGAGGCAAGAGAATCGCTTGAACCCAGGAGGCGGAAATTGCAGTGAGCTGAGATTGTGCCACTGCACTCCAGCATAGGGGACAGAGCTAGACTCTGCCTCAAAAAAAAAAAAAATGTTAAAGGTGGTAAGCTATATAGGTATATTTATCCTCAATAAATATTTCTTCAAACAAAAGTAAAGGGTGTAGGGGTTGCTGGTGATGACATCCCTGTGTGGGTGAGAGGCCAGGATGGGCTTCTGGGAAATGGATAATGTTGAGGGGCTGAGGGAACCTCTGATCTTCCCAAACTGAGCCCAGTCTCTCTCCTCTGGGTCTCTCCTGACCGTTTTCTCCATCTGCCTGTGTGCCTGGAGCCCTGGCCGCGGGCCTTCATGCAGGCCGTGTAGGAGGGTTTGGAGGTGCCCTGTCTGCCATCCTGTGCCCTGATCCCTCCCTCACACCCAAGCTTCGTCTTCTCTCTGCATCTGTCCATGCTTCTCTCCATCATCAGCAGGAAGCTCCTCAGCTAAGGCTCTAGGATCATAGGACATGAGACAGATATGGGGTTTCCTCACCTGTGACAGAAACAAGCAGTGGGTCACTCGAGTTTGACCACTCATAGGGAGAGTCACGGAAAGAGCCGAAGCATCTGTAGGTTCCTCCGTGGGTGGCAGGGCCCAGAGGAAAGTCGGCCTGGAATGTTCCGTTGACCTTGGGCCCTGCAGAGAACCTACGTTCATGGGCCTCCCCCTCCCTGGATAGATGGTACATGTCATAGGAGCTCCGGGAGCTGCAGGACAAGGTCACGCTCTCTCCTGCCAAAACCGTGGGGCCCGGCTGGGCTGAGAGAGAAGGTTTCTCATATAGACCTGGAAGGAGAAGAGGCATTTTCCTCAGGGAGGATCTTCCTTGTCACAGCTCCCTTCACCTGAGCTGAGAACTCACTCCCCTGCTCTATGACCTAATGCTCTCTCTCTCTCTCTCTCACCCTCCACCCCATCTCTCTTCATGTCTATTTCCTCCTTCCACCTTCTCTGTCTCTCTAGGTCTCTGACCTCGCTTCCCCACCTCTAGATATGTTTTCCCTTTTTGGATTCTTTTATTCTCTCTGACTCTCCTTGGATTGGTTGACTTGATGTTACTTTTTTAAATTCTAAGTTTCTCACGTTGTGTCCTGTTCATAACTTTCTGCATATTTCTATCTATTATCTGTCGATCTATCTATTTATCTATTCGGTGCCTATCTACAAATTCTCTACCTGTCATCTATATCTATATATCATCTATGTATCTATCAGTTGTCTATCTATCCATCAATCATCTGTTATTTATATGTATGTATCATCTCTCTCTCTATGATTTCTGTCTGCCTCTCTATCTGTACGTATTATCTATCTGTCTTCATCATCATCATCTCTATGTATTATCTATTAATGAATCAATCAATCATCATCTATGTATCTTTAACCTATTATCTATCATCTACCTATTTATCATCTATCTATATCTATCCATCTATCATCTGTCTTGCTCTGCCTCTCGGTCTCTCTAGTTCTCTTTGGAATCTCTGCAGTTCATCCCCACATCTCCATCTTTCTATGTCCTTGTGCCTCTCCCTCAGGACTCTAATTTTAGTGCTTTTCTCTGCTCCCTTCCATCATTCTCACCACTCCTCTGCCCTCTTTTCTCTCTCTTTATGTGTCAGTGAGTCTCTCAATCTCCTTCCTCTGGCCCATTCTCTGTGTGTTTATGTCTTTGCTTTTTGGTGTTCCTGATTTCTCTCTGTGCCTCTCAGTGATCCTTTCATATGTGGGGTTATTTGGAATGTGAGCCTCAGAATCCAGTCTGGAGACCACAAGTTCACACAGCATACAGGGGTTGGTGTTCTGGGGCCATGATATCCTGGGACGGTTACTCTCCATTACATGGAAGGCAGAGGTGTCAGAATAAACATGGCCTGTAGGTGCCACAAGGCCTGAGGCCACAGGGCCCAACTCAGGTCAGAAATATGGGTGTCCTTGGGTTCTCCTGGTAGAGAACACTTTGTGGAGGTAAAACAGAAATGAAACTTCTATCCTGTGCCAGGTCTGTGAGCAAAGTCAGCATGGAGGGACACCTCTCTCTGGGACATGTCTGTCTGTCTGTCTCCTTTAACTCTTTCTGTCTTTTCTAACTCCCTGTATGGCCCCTGTGTCTGTCCTCCGTTATGACACCTGGTCTGTACTTGTGTCTCCTGTTTCTCTGTCTCTGTTGGTACAAACCTCAGCAAGTCAGTCTCTCTCCATAAGAATACCAAGCTCATCTTCCTTACAACTACCTGGGGGTTCCAAGTCGTGGATCATTCACTCTGCAGCCCAATGACAATGAGAATGTCCGGACACTCTCACCTGTGATGACGATGTCCAGAGGGTCACTGGGAGCTGACAACTGATAGGGGGAGTGAGTAACAGAACCGTAGCATCTGTAGGTCCCTGCAAGGTCTTGCATCATGGGACCGATGGAGAAGTTGGCCTTGGAGACCCCATCATGGTGCTCTCCAATGAGGTGCAAAGTGTCCTTATACTTCCCCTCTCTGTGCAGAAGGAAGTGCTCAAACCTGACATCTGACCAACATTGCAGGATGACTGTCTCTTCTGATTTCACCAGGGGACCTGGGTGGGCCAGGAGGGAAGGTTTTCTGTGGACTCCTAAGAAGAGAGGTTGTGAGTTTAGAAGGTGTCTCTCTTTATCATCCCATCCATGGCACCTAGAATGAGTGAGGCTTCCCCTTGCTGGTGTCTGTCTCTCTCCTTCCTCTCTGTGTCTTCATGTTCTTTTCTGTGCCCATAACTCCTGGTGCAGGTCCTTCCATCTGTCTCCCTCCCTCTTCTCTGTCCCTCTGTCTCTAGTAGCCTCTGATTCCCTTCCCACTGGGCTTAGCCTCATCTCTTGGGGTGTTGTATCTATTTCACACTAACGTCTTTCCTGCTGTTTATGTGGGGGTGAAAGAGGAACCAGGATAGGCTGCACATCCAGGCTCTTATCAGCCTTGTTCAATCTCTTTTGGATGAATTGCAATCCTTGGCAGAAGGTATGAACTGATGAATAAGGCAGGCACCAGTGTCCACACACCCTGTTCCTGGTCGGGACTGGGAGCCACTCTTGCCATGCCTGTGCCTTCTCCATGGTGCCAGCTTCCATAGGCTGGCTCCTGGTGCTGGTTGGAGGAGTATCAACCCCTCCCTATGTGGATGGAGCCTGGTGGTGGCATCATCATCCCACCCTTGCTGATCTCAGGGTAGCCAACCTTCTCCTTGTTTGGTTTCTTTAATTAATTAATTAATTTTGGAGACAGAGTCTCACTCCTTCACCCAGGCTGGAGTGAAGTGGTGTGGTCTAGGCTCACTGCAACCTCTGTTTCCTGGGTTCAAGTGATTCTCCTGCCCTCAGCCTCCTGAGTCGCTAGGATTACATGCGCCTGCCACCATGCCTGGCTTTCCTTGGGTTGTTTCTTAACTTGTCCTTGACCTGGGTTCCAGTGTTGGTTTCCTGTTGCTGCTGTACAAAATTATCAGAAGCATGGAAGCAGGAGAGACCACACTGACACCTTCCAGTACTGGAGACAGAAATTGGACCCTATTTTTCCTGGGCTAAAATCAAGGCATCTGCAGGGCTTCGTTTCCTCTGGAGACTCTGGAGAATCAGTTCCTTGACTTTTCCAGCCTCTATAGGCCACCTGCATTCATGGCTCTTGGCCTTCCTCCACCTTCAAAGCTGGTGAAGACTTCCACTGGACTGCTCTAATCCCCACTCCCCTCTTCCTCCTCCTTTCATGTGCACCCTTGTGATTACACTGAGCCCAGTGGGACAGTCCAGGCTGTCTCCCCATGAGCTCCATCTTCCCCTTCAGTCCCTTCCCCTATAACATACATAGTCACAGACTCCAGGGATTAGAATGTAGTCATCACTGGGGACAATTATTCTTCCCACCACAGCACCCATTTCCCTGTATTCAATCCCCCTTTACCACAAATACAGTCAGGGCCTGCGTGATGGGACCCTCAAGGACATGCCCACCAGAAGCTCTGGGATTCAGGAGGTGGGACAAGGAGAATCCAAGACAGGAGCCCTCTGACCTATGACCACGATCACCAGGGGGTTGCTGGGTGCTGACCACCCACTGGGGGAGTGTGTGTGTGAACCCCGACATCTGTATGTCCCTGTTGTGCGGGGGTCACAGGGCCCATGAAAAGGCTGTTCCAGAATATTCTGTTGTAGAGCTCAGGGACAGGCACCCCACCTTCCTTGTACAGACTGAAGTTGTTAAACCCAAGATAAGAGTGACACCGAAGAATGACATGTCCTAGAGGCACCACAAGGCTGGGCCAGGCAGACAGCAAGGGCTTGTCCTGACCACCTTGGGGAGAAGGAGGCGCCGCCTTAGAGAGGAGGATGTGGAACTGCCCCTCCCTCCCTGTGCTCAGAAGATTCTCCTCGCTTTCCACGTTTCTATGGCTACTATCACACCTTGGTGCCCAGGGCTGAAGGAAGGACCCATCCCGCAAAGACATGGTGTCTCCCTACAACAAAAGCCTCAGCTGAGAACTTTGAGCAAGTGCTGAGTAAAGAGACTCCTACTAGATTTTAATACTGTAAGATTACTCACATAAAACAACACAGGGTAGACATGAGGTGGAGGGCATGTCCTTTGTGAGTGGATATCAGCGGATGCCTGAACGAAAATAAACAACTGAGCCCCCATCAGAGGATTTGGAATGTCAGGGCCATGGCTGTGGTTTCCCACCTCTTCTGGTAGAATGACAGCAGCCACACTGCAGCCCCTACCATCATGGAAACGCTGAAGTGTGTGAGTAACACCTTTGTCCTCAGAGGATCTGCTGTTCCTACCACTTCCCCACCACACACCCCAGCTTTGAGCACCCCAGTCTAACCCTGGTCCCCACAGAACTTGACTCTGCCAAGGGGTTGAGAGGCCAGGGAGGCAAGGTCAGAAATGTGGGCCGAGCACCCCAGGGTCCTCTCTTCCCAGTTTATGAGAGACTCCCTGACAGGACTTCCCTCCTGTTTCAGGAAAATCCTCTTATGTGGGGAGATGACAACCGAAGGTTTGGAGAAGGACTCACCCTCATGTGGCCAGGCCCCCTGCAGCAAGAAGAACCCTGGAAAGAAAGATCATGATGGACCATCCATCTGCAGGCAAACCAGGACTCCCTTGCTGCCCCCACTGGGCTGTGAGTCTTGGCAGCCAGGCCCTTCCTGGGCTGAAGTTAAACTCACCCTCAGTGCCTACCTGCACCCAAGAACAGGGCTGTCGGCTGTGCAGAGACCCAGTTTCCAGGCCCAGATCCCCACCACAAGCCCATATCTCCACTCCAGGCTGATATTTCCACCCTAGGCCCATATCTCCAATCCAGTCCCATATCTCTGCCCCAGGCCCAGATCTCCACCCTAAGCCCATATCTCCACTCCAGGCCCATATCACCTCTCCAGTCCCATATCTCCACACCCAGGCCCATATCTCCTTCCTAGGCCCATATCTCCACTCCAGGCCCAGATATCCACCTCTAGGCCCATAACTCCACTCCTGGCCCATATCTCCACTCCAGGCCCATATCTCTACTGCAGGCCCGTATCTCCACCTCCAGATCCATATCTCCACTCCAGGCCCATATCTCCACTCCAGGCCCATATCTCTACTGCAGGCCCATATCTCCATCTCCAGGCCCATATCTCCATCTCCAGGCCCATGTCTCCACTACAAGCCCATATCTCTACTGCAGGCCCATATCTCAACCTCCAGGCCCATATCTCCACTCCAGGCCCAGATCTCCACTTCTAGGCCCATCACTCCATCTCTAGGCCCATAACTCCACTTCCAGGCCTATATCTCCAACTCTGGGCCCCGATCTCCATCCCCGCACTCCCTCCCTCGATTCCCTTCCAGGACTCACCAACACACGCCATGCTGACGACCATGAGCGACATGGTGCTGTCTGTGCAGACAGGCGGCCGCGCCCCAGCTCAGCTCAGCAGCGCACAGGATGTTATTTGGCGCCCTGCCCATGCAGTTTACATGTTGACCACATCATGGGAGGGTGACGTACGCAGGCTCTTTCTACCTTGCATGAGGCCCAGTGGGTGCTCGCTCAAGAGCGGAACATGGCTTCCTGGAAATTGTTCTCACTAGAATTGACACCTTGCGTCCTTCACTACGACCAGACTCAAAAGACGTCTCAGATCCAACCTCTCATACACGAGATGATTGAATTCTGTGCTTACATTAAAGATTTTTGATGTATTTTTGTTTTTATCTGAGATTCAAACTCTTCTTCATATGTAATGTGCAAAATGTCTAACAGGTATTATTAACATTATCAGAGTAATTGTGACAAGAAGCCATTCTAATTTTCCTGCTTGAGTTTCTAGTACTAAACCAGAGGCATCAGAATAGCTTGAACCTGGGAGGCGGAGGTTGCAGTGAGCTGAGCTCAAGCCACTGAACTCCAGCTTGGGTGACAGAGGAAGAGTCTGTCTCAAGAAAAAAAAAAAGCAAACTAAATAACCTATAATAACAAATCAGAGGACTCAGGTTACCAAATTTTAAGGGGTTCTATAAGTTTATATAAAATGCAGCATCCTCATGAGAGGGGATACAGAGAACCACTGGACAGAAAACTGTGTCTAAAATACATCTGTGGATACACAGTCCCTTTATAGTTGACAAAGGCTGCCATGTAGTTTAAGGTGGAATAGAATATTTTCTCAACAAATAACACAGGACCATAGGGTTACACGTAGGAAAAAATAAATCTAAACTTATCCTCACACTATAAAAACACTTCTTATTTTTTATCTTGTTGTTGTAAATTTTTTATGCTTTATTTTTAAGATTGACAAATAAAAATTATATACCATGGTCCTTCACTATACCTGGGTGATTGGTTCCAGGATCCCCATTCAGATACCAAAATCTGCAGATGCTCAAGCCCCTTGCATGAAATGGCATAGTGAAGCTGGGCACCGTGGCTCACGCCCGTAATCCCAGCACTTTGGGAGGCTGAGCTGGGTAGATCACAAGGTCAGGAGTTCAAGACCAGCTGGTCCAACATTCTGAAACCCCGTCTCTACTAAAAATACACACACAAAAAAATTTATCTGTGCAGGGTGGCACGTGCCTGTAATCCTAGGGGAGGCTACTGAGGAGGCTGAGGGAAGAGAATCGCTTGAACCTGGAAGGCGGAGGTTGCAGTGAGTTGAGATCACGCCACTGCACTCCAGCCTGGGTGAGAGAGTGAGACTGTCTCAAAAAAAAAAATAGCATAGCAATTGCATAGAACCCATGCACATCCTCCTGTATACATGAAATCATCTCTTGATTACTTATAATTCCTGACACAGCCTACACGCCACTCAATTTGTGTCGATTCAACATAGTTTTTTGCTTTTTGAAACTTCGGGGATTTTTTTTCTCAAAATATTTTTGATTTATTGCTGATTCAATAAACATGTGTAAACCCCAGAGATATGGAGGAGTGACTGTCTATTTATAGTAGTATGAAAGATGATGTGTTGATACGTGTCCCTGTGGAGATGAGACTAACAAGGCCTATGACTCTACAAATGTTTCATCGTGGAATGACTCTGCCAGCTTTCCAGATCTGCAGAGAGTAAGAATATCACTTGTTCATCTGATTCACCATCCTTGGAACCTCCTATGTGCTGCATCTTTGGATGGAAACTGGAGTCTCAGAGACAATTCAGGCTCCACCCTGCTTCCAGAAGCTCAGAGTCCAGGGGTGAGAACCCAGCGGAGAACAGATGGGGTTATGTGGACGTGGTAATGATAACACCGGAAGCCTTAGGCAAGAAAAGAGTCCCATTGACGAAACCATGAGGGCAGACATGTTTACTTGAAGAATAGAAAACTACATTGAAATTATAAAAAAAATTTATAAGTTTTACTGCTGACAGAAGGCTGAAAGATACTCTGAGGAAAGGTGGAACAACATGAGGAAAGGTGGAATAGCATGTATCTAAGTGCCGTGTTAAGAGGGAGCCTCTTATATGTTTGGAATTGTGAGTTCCTCAGTGTGATCGCAGCCTCAAGTAGACTAGGAAGTAAGCCAGTTAGGTTGGAGAGGTGGGCAGGGGTCAAGTGAAATGGAGAATTGTGGGCTAAGCAAAGGAGTGTGTTTTCTCTCCAGCAGGCAGTGGGGACCTTAGACATTTGTAAGCAAGAGAGAGGCATGTTCAGATTCGTGGTGTGAGGAAGAGCGATGCCCTAAGATGCAGACTCACGCCTTCAGATTCCAGCTGCTGGTACATGGGAGCTGGCAACCCGGTTTTGAGACAGGGCTATTGTCTCCCTAGAAGATCCCATCAAGGCCTGACTGTGGTGCTGGTGGACAGAAGACAACTTTGGATCTGCGCTCAGCATTTGGAAGTTCCGTGTTACACGCTGGTATCTGTTGGGGGTGTCTTGGGCCTCTGAGAAGGGCGAGTGATTTTTCTCTGTGTGAAAACGCAGTGATTCAACTGTGCGTATGTCACCTCCTGAGGGTCTTGTTCATCAGAGTCCTGGAGGGAGGGAAATGCTGAGTGAGGGAGGGTGCTCACATTTTTCAGGACTCTTTGGGAATAAGACTAGCCATGAGGCTGGGCTGAGGAGCACCTACCTCCCTGTTCACTGTTCTGTTCCCTGCAGGCTCTTGGTCCATTACAACAGCATCTGTAGAAGACGGAAGTCGTCAAAACAGCTCGGAGGGCACTTCTGGGTCCTCATTTCATAAGCAGATACCAACATGCAGGGGGAGGCCATAGGTGCCTGAGGTCCCTCAGTTGCCAACAGCAGACTCAGACATTCTATCTCTCTGAGCTCAAGGACCCATCCCATGAATAGCTCTGAGTTCCCATCCCATTGATTCTGTCTCCCACTTTCTGCCTGTCATGGAACCTTCTCCTGGATGTGAGTGGCTGCAGGGGATGTGAGGATATGGTTCAGAATCAGGCAATGGTCTGTGAGCTGAAGGCAGGGGCAGGGAGTCTGGTGCTCTCTCTAGAAAGTCCTGCCTCTGTGGCTCCTGCCTTGGGTCAGGGACCATCCTGCCTGTAAGGAACACACACCTGAGTGCTCCCATCCTGCTTCCCCACATGGCCCTGAGCTCTCTGGCTTCTGCTTCGTGAGACTTACTCTTTTTGTTGGCACACCAGCGATGAAGGAGAAAGAAGAGGAGGATAGCAAAGGGGATGATGACCACTGAGGTCCCAATCAGAGCGTGCAGGTATCTGGAGTTACCTGGAGGAAGACAAGACACCAATAAGAAGCTAATCATAGCAGTTCCTCTATATGAATTGTCTCACATTTCTTGATTGACAGGTAACCACATACAACGTCTCTTTAGGACAAGCACCCAGATGGCGGGAGACCTAGCTTCCTCCTGCTTTCTCAGTTGTAGTAACCATAGAACGTGCTGAGGATACAACTGCTTTAGTTTAGATGTTTGACCACTTCAAACCTCACATTGAAATGTAACCCCCAGGGTGGGAGGTTGGGCCTCTTGGGAGGTGTTTGGGTCATGGAGGTGGATCCATCATGAACAGATCAATGCTGTCCCAAGGAGATGGGGTTAGCAAGTTCCCCCTCTATTAGTTCCTGGAGAGCTGGTTGTTAAAAAGAACTTGGAAGCTCCATCGCTCCCCCTCCCCCTTGCTCCCTCTCTTGCCGTGTGATCTCTGTGGTCTCTGCACAGATAGACCCTCCTTCCCTTCTGCCAGAGCGGGAGCAGCCTGAGGCCGTCACAAGAAATAGATGCTGGTGCCATGCTTCCAGTACAGCCTGCAGAACTGTGAGGCAAACACATTTCTTTTCTTTAGAAGTTACCCAGGCTCAAGTGTTCCTTTAGAGCAACAAAAATGGACTAAGACAGCAAAGTCCTGAGATCAGGAGGAACATCCCAGAACAGCCTGGGCTGTCTTCCTGTTCTTCCTGGAGGAGGACGTCATGCAGTGCTTTAGCTGAGTGCTTCCTGTGGCTCCAGGGTACAAAACCCAGGCTGGGCTGCTTTTTGATTTCCCCCAGATACACTGCATATGGGGTGACTCCACATGTCTCGAGCAGCTTTTCTGAGCCTTGAGGGACTGGCTCACATTGAAATGTAGGCTTCTGTTGTCACTCGCTGCTTATCTGTTAGTAATGAACCTGCCTGTGTAATGTGTTCTCTGTGTGTTCTGTCTCCCTGGAGTGACGGTGAGTGATAGGAATTGGTATAGGCCCAGGTACATTCCAGGAGGTGTTTAGAGTCTTCTCTGGGAAGACTGGATTGGGATTGATACACAGCGAATGTGCTTTACAGTTTCTACCACCACAACCCTCTTGACTCAAAAAAATTACATTCTCCAAGAAAAGAAAGAAAAAATGAAATCAAGATAAAAAAAGTGAAGTAGAACTGACTTAAATCAAACAGCCATGAAATAATGATGTAGCCCAGGAACAACATGCTACTTTTTGTGATCTGCTGAGACATATATTAGGCTGCTATTCCACCCGAGAAGCACGGGGAAGGACCGCCCTCTCCGTCGTTTATTGTTTCAATACAGCCTGTCCTTCTGTGAGTTAGTACGAAATGTGACCAGGGGCTAGTGCTGGCACTGGTCTCTGAGTCCAAGATCTGAGCTCACTCCAAAGAGTATTAGTGTTTACCTCCCCATGATCTATCTGTATCTCCATAGGTGATTGGAAGTAGAGATGAATTGGGGGATTTGGGTGAAGGGGCAAGTTTTATGCCATGAACAGAGCACGTTCTCTATTCCAGGACCTGTGCTGGTGGGTTCAGGAGGCTTTCACATTTTCCATATGATCCCAAGCTCACAGAAAGCCAAATAAGGAAGAGGTTTAACCTGATTGTTTAATGGATAAGATAAAGGGTCAAAGAATTAAACACAGAGAAATAGAAAAATGATGGTTGGTATCCAGTTGCCTTTGTAATTTCTGTGTGTCATAATTATGTATGTTTTATTTTTATTTTTTGAGACAGAGTCCCCCTGTGTCAGGCTGGAGTGCAGTGATGCGATCTCAGTTCAACCTCTGCCTCCAGGGTTGAAGCCATTCTTCTGCTTCAGCCTCCCCAGTCGCTGGGATTACAGGCAGGTGCCAATGCACCAGGCTAATTTTTGTATTTTTAGTACAGACGGGGTTTCACCATGTTGGCCAGGCTGGTCTCAAACTCCTACCCTTAAGTGATCTACCCGCCTTGGCCTCCCAAAGTGTTGGGTTACAGGTGTGAGCCCCCATCCACAGTCTTGTATATTATATTATACTAGGTCCCTTCATTTGCACCACCCCTCATGTGTCTATCGCTCCTCTGCCAGGTATTGATTTAGATGTAGAAAAAAAACACATCTCAGAAAGAAATTAATGAAACAAGGATTAAACTACTAGGAAAAATCAAACCCAGCAAGCCCTCCCTGCAAATGATTCTACCTCACAAGCATAGCTTATATCCATCTTTCATTCATTTAGTGTGTAAATCAACCCTACGTTTCACCAGTGGGGCGGGAATTGCCTTTTCCACCGTCTCCTAGATTCCAGTTACGCACCTGGGCCTCCCTTATTTTCATGTCGGTCACTATTAATCAGGTAGGGATTCCTAGTTAGCTCTGAGTTGAATCCAATGGCTGTGAGTATCAAACACACGCTCCTTGTTCCTCCTTAGTTTCCTGTGTACCCAGTGTGCTCTCCATCTCTCTACAGTTGTCTTGTCATTCTCCCCACTTCATTCCCAGCATTTGAGGCAGAGCCTCTTCCTTGAACTAAGAATGTTTCCACCTTTGTGCCTTCACGGCTGAGAGCTCAGTGTGGAAAATCCTTCCGCCAATCTTCCAAGGGTTGAATCCATTTTTTCCATTAAGGTCACAAATATTATCTGATCAGTGAGACCTTCTCTGTCACCTGAAATTATATACTCAGCATTATCTATTACTTATTTTAAATCCTGGCTGGGCGCAGTAGCTCTCGCCTGTAATCTTTGCACTTAGGGACGCTAAGGCGGTGGGATCACTTGAGATTGGGAGTTTGAGACAGGCTGCACAACATGGTGAAACCTCATTTCTACTAAAAAAATATACCAAAAAAATTAGCCGAGTGTGGTGGCGCACAGCTGTAATCCCAGCTACTCGGTAGGCTGAGGCAGGAGAATTGCATGAACCCAGGAGGCAGAGGTTGCAATGAGCTGAGATTGTGCTACTGCACTCCAGCCTGTGGAACAGAGAGAGACTCTACTCAAAAAAAAAAAGAAAACAAAAAAAACACACACACACAAAAAACCCCAGATTTGGTGCACAGATGCTTCCCAATGGATCATTCATTTATTGGTACCCTTGTGCATTCATTCTCTGCCCTCGCATTTACCCATCTGCAATATCAGCGTCCCAAGAGCAGAGGCCAAATGCATCCTGTTTACCATTTGTGGAAGGCAGGAGAATGCTGCCCCACCCCCAAAATGTCCCTGTCTTAGCCTCCATAGCTTGTGAATATGTTATTTTACAGGAAAGGAGGAATGAAGATTGCAGATGGCATTACGGTTGCTAATCAGCTGAACTTAAAAAGAGGGTACGCTGGATGATTTTAGGGAGATTGAGATGGATTATCTTGGTGACCCCAATAGAATCCCAAAGTCCTTAAAAGATGAGGAAGAAGGCAGAGCAGGATTCAGAGAAAAAGGTGTGGGTAAAGAAGAAGAGTCTGAATGATGCCATGTGAGACGTGACCAGCCTTTGTGGGCTTTGAGGAAGGAGGAAGGAGGAAGGGGACCAGGGGCCCAGGAACGTGGGAGCCTCTAGGAGCTGGGAAACGTTAAGGAGCAGATTCTTGCTTGGAACCTTAAAAAGAAATCCAGCCTTACTGTCCCTTTGATATCAGCCCAGTGAAATGCAGTTCATACTTCTGAGTTACAGCACTGTGAGATAATTAAGAAAAACATGTTTTCATCCACGAAGCTTGTGGAAATTTGTTATGGCAACAATAGGAAAAGATTCCACACTGCACAGCCTGAGCATGGGGCATTGGCTGAACGAGTGAGTGAGTGGAAGTGTCGTGTGCATAAATAAGCTAAATTCTCTCTTACTGCACGTCTCTTGCTCTGCTGAGTCAACCAGGGTTGCATCTGGTACACTGCTGATACGAATGTAAATTAGTACAGCCATTACAGAGGAGAAGAGTATGGAAGTTCCTCAAAAAATAAAATGAGGTCGGGCACAGTGGTTCATGCCTGTAATCCCAGCACATTGGGAGGCCGAGGTGGGTAGGTCACTTGAGGTCAGGAGTTGAAGAGCAGCCTGGCCAATATAGCGAAACTCTGTCTCTACTAAAAATATAAAAATTAGCCGAGTGTGGTGGTGGGAGCCAGTAACCCAGCTACTTGGGAGGCTGAGGCTGGGGAATCTCTTGAATCCTGGAGGTGGAGGTTGCAGTGAGCCCAGATGGCGCCACTGCACTCCAGCCTGGGCAACAAGAGTGAAACAGTCTAAAAAAAACAAAAACAAAAACAAAAACCATAAAACAAAATGTAAAAAGACACTTCCAGAGGATCTAGCAATTCCATGACTGGGTGTAAACCCAAAGGAAAGGACATCAGCGTATCGAAGTGACATCTGCACTCCCATGACTGTTCCAGCAGTGTTCACAGTAGCCAAGATGTGGATCAACCTACCTGCCCATCAGTGGGTGAATGGATGGAGAGAATGTGGTACACACACACAATAGGGACAACTCATCCATAGAAAGAGTAACATCCTGTCATTTACAGCCACATGAATGGAACTGGAGGTCATTACAAGTATTTCCATTTCTCACTCATATGCAGGAGCTAAAAGGTGGATCTCACAAAGGTAGAGAGTAGAATGGTGGCTACCAGAGGCCAGGAAGGGAAGGGTGGAGGGTAAAAAAAAAAGAATACTAATTAATTAATTAATTAATTTTGAGAGAGTGTCTCTCTCTGTTGCCCAGGCTGCAGTGCAGTGGCATGATCTCAGCTCACTGCAACCTCCGCCTCCTGCAATTAAGTGCAACTCCTGCCCAACCCTACCAAGTAGCTGGGACTACAGGCATGTGCCACCATGCTCGGCTAATTATTATCATTATAATTATTATTTTGTATTTTTAGTACAGATGGATTTTCCCCATGTTGGCCAGGGTGGTCTTGAGCCCCTGATCTCAAATGATCCACCTGCCTTGGCCTCTCAAAGTGTTGGGATTACAACCGTGAGCCACCGTGCCCAGCCTATAAATGTATTTATGAACAGTAGACTTCACACTTAAAAATGGTAAAGGTGGTAAATTACATAGGTATATTTCACCTCAATAAATATTTCTTCAAACAAAAAGAAAAGGGTGTAGGCGTTGCTGGTGATGACATCTCTCTGTGGGTGACAGGCCAGGATGGGCTTCTGGGAAGTGGGTAAGGTTGAGGGGCTGAGAGAACCTCTGATCTCCCCAGGCAGAGCCCAGTCTCCCTCCTCTGGGTCTGTTCTGACCTCTTTCTCCATCTGCCTGGGTGCCTGGAACCCTGATCAAGGGCATCCTTGCAGGCCATACAGGAGGGTTTGGAGGTGCCCTGTCTGCCATCCTGCGCCCTGACCCCGCCCTTACACCCATGCTGTGTGTTCTGTCTCGGCATCTGTCCATGCTTCTCTCCATCATCAGCAGGAAGCTCCTCAGCTATGGCTCTAGGATCACAAGACATGGGACAGGCATGGTGTTTTCTCACCTGTGACAGAAACGGGCAGTGGGTCACTCGGGTCTGACCACGCATGGGGCAGGGCACGGAAAGAGCCGAAGCATCTGTAGTTCCCTCCGTGGGTCACAGGGCCCAGAGGGAAGTTGGCCTGGAATGTTCCATTGACCCTCAGCACTGCAGTGAGCCTAAGTTCACCGGCCTCCGCCTCCCTGGATAGATGGTAAATGTCAAACAAGCTCCGGGAGCTGCAGGACAAGGTCACATTCTCTCCTGCCTGAACCGTGGGGCCCGGCTGGGCTGAGAGAGAAGGTTTCCCATATAGACCTGGAAGAAGAAGAGGTGGTTTCCTCAGGGAGGTTCTTCCTTGTCACAGCTCTCCTCACACCTGAGCTGAGAACTCACTCCCCTGCTCTATGACTTAATGCTCTCTTTCTCTCTCTCACCCTCCACCCCCATCTCTCTTCATGTCTATTTCCTCCTTCCACCTTCTCTGTCTCTCTAGGTCTCTGACCTCACTTCTCCATCCCTAGCTATGTTTTCTTTTTTTGTACCATTTTATTCTCTCTGACCCTCCTTGGACTGGTTGACTTGATCTTCCTCTTTCTTTAATTCTGAGTCTCTCACTTTCTGTCTTGCTCATAACTTTCTGCATATTTCTATCTATTATCTATTGATCGATCTATCATTTATCTATGTATGTATCTATCATCTATCATCATCTGTGTATCTATGACCTATCTCTCTGTTATCTATCATCTATCAATCAATGTATGTATGTATGCATCTATCCATCTATCATCATGTGTTTATCTGTCTTTCTATCTCTCTATATCTATTTATATATCATCTGTCTGTCTTTCTACTTGTCTATCTATATCATCTATCAGTCATTCATCATCTATTTGTCTATCACCTGTCTCTCTATTATCTATCATCTACCTTTTATCTTTCATCTATCTATATCTATCTGTCCATCTATCATCTGTCTCTCTCCATCTCCTTGTCTTTCTCTGCCTCTCAGTCTCTCTAGTTCCCTTTTGGAGTCTCTGCAATCCATCCTCACATCTTTATCTTTCCCTGTCTTTGTGCCCCTCCCTCAGGGCTCTGATTTTAGGGCTTTTCTCTGCTTCCTTCCATCATACGCTCCACTTCTCTGCCCTCTTTTTCTATCTCTTTATGTGTCTGTGAGTCTCTCAATTCCCTTCTTCTGGCTCATTCTGTGTGTGTGTTCATGTCTTTGCTTTTTGATTTCCCTGATTTCACTCCGTGTCTCTCTGTGGGCTTTTGTTCTCAGTAATCCTATAACATGTGGTGCTATTTGAATATGAGCCTCAGAATCCAGTATGGGGACTCCAGGAACTCACAGCATACAGGGGTTGGTGTTCTGCTCCCTCACCTGGGGCCATGGTGTCCTGGGACGATGACAGCTCCACTGCACGGAAGGCAGAGGTTTAAGAATAAACACAACATCTGTAGGTGCCACCAGCCTGGGGCCACATGGCCCAACTCAGGCCAGATAGATGTGTCTCTTTGGGTTCTCCTGGGAGAGAACACTTTGTAGAGGTAAAACAGAATGGAACCTTCTAACCTGTGCCTGGTCTCTGAACAAAGTCAGCATAGAAGGACACCTCTCTCTGGGATATGTCTGTCTCTCTGTGTCTTCTTTACCTCTTTATCTCTTTTTCTAACACCTTGTATGGCCCCTGTGTCTGGCTTCTATGTTATGACATGAGGTCTGTACTTGTGTCTCCTGTTTCTCTGCCTTTGTTGGTACAGACCTCACCAAGTCACTTTCTCTCCATAGGAACCCCACACTCATCTTCCTCATGACCACCTGGGGCTTCCAGTCCTAGATCATTCACTCCATCTCCCAGCAAGGGTGAGAGGCAGGTCTGTATTCTCTCACCTACGACCACGATGTCCAGAGGGTCACTGGGAGCCGACAACTCATAGGGTAAGTGAGTGACAGAACCAAAGCATCTGTAGGTCCCTGCAAGGGCAGGTGTCATGGGACCCATGGAATAGTTGACCTGGGAACCCGCATCGTGGAGCTGTCCAACGAGGCGCAAGGGGTCCTCAGTGATCCCCTCTCTGTGCAGAAGGAAGCGCTCAAACCTGACATCTGACCAACATTGCAGGATGACCGTCTCTCCTGATTTCACCAGGGGACCTGGGTGGGCCAGGAGGGAAGGTTTTCTGTGGACTCCTAAGAAGAGAGGTTGTGAGTTCAGAAGGCGTCTCCCTTTCTCATCCCATTCATGGGACCTGAAATAAGTGAGGCTTCCCCTCCATGGTGTCTATCTGTCTCCTTCCTGTCTGTGTCTCCGTGTTCTTTTGTGCCCATAACCCCTGTTGCAGGTCCCTCCATCTGTCTCCCTCCCTCTTCCCTGTCTCTCTGTCTCTAGTAGCCCTGATTCCCTTCCCACTGTGCTCAGTGTCACCTCTTAGGCTGTTGTATCTGTTTCCCACTAATCTCTTTCCTGGTGTTTATGTGGGGGTGGAAGAGGAACCATGACAGGCTGCATGTCCAGGCTCTTAGCAGCCTGAATCAATCTCTTTTGGACAGATTGGAAAGGCCGGCAGGAGGTACGAACTCATCAGTAAGGCAGGCATCAGTGTCCCTGTTCCTGATGGGGATTGGGAGCCTCTCCTTTCATGTCTGTGCCTTCTCCATGGCCCCAGCTTCCATAGGGTGGCCCCTGGTGCTGGTTCCAGGAGCATCAACCCCTCCCTATGTGGATCGAGCCTGGTGGTAGCATCAGTATCCCACCCATGCTAAAATCAGTGTAGCCAACCTTCTCCTTGTTTGGTTTCTTAACCTGTGCTTCACCTGGGTTCCTGTGTTGGTTTCCTGTTGCTGCTGGAGAAAATTGTCACAAACATGGGGCAGGAGAGAATACAATGACCCCTTCCACTTCTGGAGAACAGAAATCGGACCCAGTTCTCTCTGGGCTAAAATCAAGGCATCTGCAGGGCTGTGTTTCCTCTGGAGACTCAGGGAAGAATCAGTTCCCTTGACTTCTCCAGCCCTTAGAGGCCACCTGCCTTTGTGGCTCATGGCCTTCCCCCATCTTCAAAGCCCGCTGTGGCTGATGGAGTCTCCCTCCCACGACGTTGCTCTAACCCCACTTTCCTCTTCCTCCTCCTCTCATGAGGACCCTTGTGATTACTCTGAGCACAGCAGGACAGTCCAGGCTGTCTCCCCATCGCAAGGTCAACTCATCAACAACCTGAGCTCCATCTTCCTCTTCAGTCCCCTGCCCTATAACATAAATAGTCACAGGGTTCATGGATTACCATGTAGCCATCACTGGGGACAATTATTCTTCCCACCACAGCAACTATTTCTCTGTACTGAATCCCCCTTTACCCCAAATACAGTCGGGGCCTGGATGATTGGACCCTGATGGACGCCCCCACCAGAAGCTCTGGGATTCAGGAGGTGGGACAGTGAGAAGCCCAGACAGAAAGCCTCTGACCTGTGACCATGATCACCACAGGGTTGCTGGGTGCCGACCACCCAGTGGGGGAGTGTGGGTGTGAACTGCAACATCTGTAGGTCCCTGCATGTGCTGGGGTCACAGGGCCCATGAGAAAGCTGTTCCGGAATATTCTGTTGTAGAGCTCAGGGACAGGCATCCCGTCTTCTTTGGACAGACTGAATTCATTAAACCCAAGACGAGAGCGACACTGAAGAGTCACATGTTGTCCTTCAGACACCACAGTGCCGGGCCAGGCAGAGAGGAAGGGCTTGTCCTGACCACCTGGGGGAGAAGGAGGCACCACCTTAGAGAGGAGGATGTGGAGCCGCCCCTCCCTCCCTGTGCTCAGAAGATTCTCCCATTTCCACGTTTCTAAGGCTCCTACCACACCTGGGTGCCCAGGGCTACAGGAAGGACCCATCCCGCATAGACATGGCGTCTCCCTACAGCAAGTGTCAGCTGAGAACTTTGAGCAGGTGCTGAAGAAGCGACTCTTACTAGATTTTAACACTGCAAAATTACTTACATAAAAGAACACAAGGTAGACACAGGATGGAGGGCATGATCAGCTAATGCATGAACCATAATAAACAACTGAGCCCCTATTAGAAGATCTGGAATGTCAGGGTCATGACTGTGGTTCCCCCACCTCTTAGGTAGAATGACAGCAGCCACATTGCAGCCCCTACCGTCATGGAAACGCTGGAGGGTGTGAGTTATGCTCTTGTCCTCAGAGGCCTGTTGTTCCTTGCACTGCTTCTCTCCCTTCCTCTGCCGGTGACACCACTTCCTCCCTGCACACCACTCCTTTGAGCACTTCAGTCTCCCCCTGGGTCCCCACAGACTCAGCCAAGGGAAAGAAAGGCCGGGGAGGGCTAGGACAGAACTGTGGCGAAGCTTCCCCTGGCTTCCTTTTCCTAGTTCATGAGAGATTCCCACATGGCTTCCCATGGTCAGCCCATCAGTCAACCCCCTGTGTCGCCTGCCTCCCGTTTCAGGAGCATCATCTTATGTGGGGAGATGACAACCTAAGGTTTGGGGGAAGGACTCACCCACATGTGGCCAGGGCCCCTCCAGCAAGAAGAACCCTGGAAAGAAAGATCATGATGGATGATCCATCTGTACATCACCTCCAGGCCCATATCTCCACTCCAGGCCCATATCTCCACCTCTAGGCCCATATCTCCACTCCAGGCCTATATCTCCACCTCCGTCCTATATCTCTACTCCAGGCCCATATCTCCACTCCAGGCCTATATCTCCACCTCCGTCCTATATCTCTACTCCAGGCCCATATCTACACTCCAGGCCCATATCTCCACCTCCAGGCCTGTATCTCCACCTCCAGGCCCGTGTCTCCATTCCAGGCCCATATCTGCACTCCAAGCCAACATCTCCACTCCAGGCCCGTATCTCTACTCCAGGCCCATATCTACAGTTCCAGGCCCATATCTCCACCTCCAGGCCCATATCTCCACTCTAGGCCCATATCTCCACCTCCAGGCCCGTATCTCAATTCCAGGTCCATATCTGCACTCCAAGCCAATATCTCCACTCCAGGCCCATATCTACAGTTCCAGGCCCATATCTCTACTCCAGGCCCATATCTCTACTTCAGGCCCATATCTACAGTTCCAGGCCCATATCTCCACTCCAGGCCCATATCTCCACCCCAGGCCCATATCTCCACTCCAGGCCTATATCTCCACTCCAGGCCCATATCTCCACTCCAGGCCCAGATCTCCACTCCAGGCCCAGATCTCCACCCCAGCGCTCCCTCCCTCGATTCCCTTCCAGGACTCACCAACACACGCCATGCTGACGACCATGAGCGACATGGTGCTGCCGGTGCAGACAGGCGGCTGCGCCCCAGCTCAGTTCAGCAGCACACAGGATGTTGTGAGGGGCTCATGCAGTTTACATGCTGACCACATCATGGGAGGATGACGTATGCAGGCTATTTCTACCTTGCATGAGGCCCAGTGGCTGTTTGGTCAAGAGCGGAACATGGCTTCCTGGAAATTGTTCCAACTAGAATTGACACCTTGCATCCTTCACTATAACCAACTCAAAACACGTCTCAGATCCAATCTCTCATACAGGAGATGACTGAATGCTTGGCTTACATTAAAGACTTTTGATGTATTTTTGTTGTTTTTATCTGAGATTCAAACTCTTCTTCATGTGCTATTTTCCCCAGGCTGTTCTTTGACTTCAGAGTTCAAGCAATCCTCCTGCCCCAGCATTTCTAGCAGCTGGCAGTATGTCACAATCTGCCACACCCAAGTCACAACTTTTAGAACTTTTTTTTTTTTTGAGACGCAATCTCACTTCGTCACCCAGTTTGGAATGCAGTGGTGAGACCTCGGCTCATTGCAGCCTCCACCTCCCAGGTTCACGCAATTCTCGTGCCTCAGCCTCCTAAGTAGCTGGATTTACAGGCACCCACCATCACGCCCACCTAATTTTTGTACTTTTAGTAGAGAGGAGGTTTCTCCATGTTGGCCAGGCTGGTCTTGAACTCCTAACCTCAAGTGATCTGTCTACTTCAGCCTCCCAAAGTGCTGAGATTACAGGTGTGAGCCACCATGCCTGGCCGGGACATTCTATATGTGTGCGTATGTGTGCGTTTATATACATATGGTTATACACACACACACACACACACACACCCTAAGCACTCACATATATAGTTGTTTCAAATTTTAAAAAATATAAATTTTGTATTTTTCTTTCTTTTTCTCACATTTGTGTTTCTATGACACCATATACATATTGAATTTTATAGTTCTATTTTATTCTTTTGGATTGCAGTTTAATAGTCCATACATAACTTTATCAACATGTAATTATCCACTCTTTTTATCATGGACATTTGTGTTGTTTCCGGATTTTCTCTTTTATAACTCGGGCCTTGATAATCGTGTTTCTGTGTGATCCCTTGCATACATATGCTGAATTAATTAGACATATTTACCTAGGAATGAAATTATTGGTTTTGGGTGCAAGTTGGTGTTGAGCTTAACCAGGAAGTGCCAAAATATTTCCATCATGACCAAATGTGGCCTGGAAAGTTTTTTGGGGTCAATTTTCCTGTTTCTTCTAAGGAACAAAATTGATGTCACTGATTTTTCTGTCCTGTTTGTCATTTATGAATATACGTACATATGCACGTATATATTTGCTTGCCATTTTATGTTTTTCCTCGACGTTACTTTGGAATTAATTTGCTGATGTGTAGTATTTCTGCAAGCGAAAGTTACCTATTTACTCAGCTCTTCCTTCTTTTCTAACACAGACATTTGAGGCTTATTTTCCTTTAACACTGTTCTATCTGTATCCCCAGTCATTTGCCGAGATGTGTTTTCATTTTTAATTGATACAAAATATTTTCCACCTTTCTTTGAAATGTTTTTCTTCCACTCATTGTTTATTGCTATGTGTGTTTATTAATTTTAAAATATTTGATAATTTCCCCAGCATTTCCTTGTTGTACATTTATAATTTAATTCAACTGTTTCATCTATCATATTACCTATGATTCAGCATTTAAAAATTTATTTTGGTGAATGTTCCAGGGGTGCTAGACAAGTTTGTGGATTAGGAAGATTTGAGGTGGATGTTTTCTAAATGTCAGTTAAGAAAAAAATCATTCAAATGTTTTTCTTTATTTAAAAAAAATAGAGACGGGGTCTCACTATGGTGCCCAGGCTGGTCTCAAACTCCTGGCCTCAAGTGATCCTCCCATTTTGGCCTCCCAAAGTGCTAGGATTATTGAAATTATTAAATGTTTCATATCAACACCCAACCTTATGCACCCGCCGCCTACACAAATGTTTTTCAAGTCTTTCATATGCTTAATAATTTTCTGTGTACTTGTTCTGGAAGTGAGGTGAATGTTGCTATCTCTAGCTGCAATTTGGATGTGATTGATTATGTTTTGAATTATGCCTTTAATTTAATGTGTTTTGAGGTTCCAGCTTTAGGTGTGTAGGCATTTAGGATTATTATGTCTTATTTATGAATTTGCCTCTTTGTCATTATGAAGTACTCCTCTTCATATCTCCATATATCTCTTCTTTGTATGTGCATGGTGAAATATTTCATTCTTTGAGTTAAGAAACTTCTATTGAGGAATACTTTTTATTACAAACATTTACCTATTCTATGTATACAACTGACTAGAAGCATATTTTGCACTGGGCATTATCATGACAATGTAATGTCATTCTTTCAATATTTACATCTTGTGGATTAGTATTTGAAGTGCAGCTTATGTAGACAGCATAAGGTTGGGTGTTGATATGAAACATTTAATAATTGCACACGTATTTGCCTCTTGGGATACTTCCACTTTTTTGAATTTCAAGTTACTAAATGGTATCATTAATCTTTGCTTCAAGAGCTTAACATTTATTGTAGAACAATGCTTCATGTAATAAATTGTGAGACATTTTTAATGGCACCTTTATTGCAGGAAAATGTTTTCCTTTTCAGGTTGAAAGATTCTAGTTTGAAATATTTTCTTGTAGCACTTTAAAAATGTTGGTCCACCTATTTCTTACTTTCATAGTTTTGAATACAAAGTTTGCTGTCATTCTTGTATTTCTTCTTCTGTTTTTTATTTATTTATTTTTGACAGAATATCTTGCCGTCTCACCCAGGCTGGAGTGCAGTGGCATGATCTTGGCTCACTGCAACCTCTGCCTTCCAGGTTTCAGCAATTCCTGCCTCAGCCTCCTGAGTAGCTGGGACTACAGGCATGCGCCACCATACCCAGCCAATTTTTTTTTTTGTATTTTTTTTTTGTAGAGATGAAGTTTTGCCATATTGGCCAGAACTCCTGACCTCAAATGATCCACCTGCTTTGGCCTCCCAAAGTGCTGGGATTACAGGTGTGAGCCACTGTGCTCAGGCTATTTATTCCTTTTTATATAATATGAATTCACATTCATACATACCAGGGGTTAGGATTTCAACAAACGTTTCTGGGGGAGACCACTCAAAACACAGCACTCATCCTTGGTTATTTCCAGCCATGGAGCCTGTATCAATATCCTGGTGAATTATCTAAGCTGTCCACCTACCTACCCCAAATCCTCATGGTCACATAAAAGGCTAGTATAGTATAATAATTTTTCTTTCCCTGCTTATCTACAGTGATGAAGAAACGAATATTCAAAGGGAAAAATCTTAGCTTTAGGTATAGGGTAATTCTTCTTCCTATTTTTAAATAACTTCAACCTTTACTGTAGATTAAAGGTATGCATGCAGGTTTGTTACATAGGCATATTGTGTGACTCTGAGGTTTGTGGTTCCAACAATGCCATCACCCAGGCAATGAGCATAGAATCCAACAGGTGTTTCTTCAGCCTATACCTCCCTACTCCTCCCCCCATCTGTAGTCCTCGGTATCTGTTGTTTCCATCTTTATGTTCATGTGTATTCAATGTTTGGTTCTCAGTTATAAGTGATAACATGTGGTATTTGGTTTTCTGTTCCTGGGTTAGTTCACTTAGGAGATTGACCTCCTGCTACATTCATGTTGCTGCAAAGGACATGATTTCATTATTTTTTATGGCCATGTAATGTTCCATGTGTATATGTAGCACATTTTCTTTAACTAATCCACTGTTGGTGAGCACTTAGGTTGACTGCAAATCTTTGCTATTCTGAATTGCACAGCAATGAATATACTAGTGCATGTGTCTTTTTGACATAGTTAATTACCTTCCTTTTGGTATATACCCAGTAGTGGGATTGCTTGATTGAATAGTAGTTCTATTTTAAGTTATTTGAGAAGTCTCCAAACTGCTTATCACATTGGCTGAACTAGTTAACATTCCCACCAAGAGTGTATAAGTGTTCCCTTTTCTCCACAATCTTGTCAGCATCTGTTATTAAAAAAAACAAAAAACTTTTTAGTAATTGCTTCTGCTTCTCTGATTGTTGTGAGATGGTATCTCACTGTGGTTTTAATTTGCATTTCTCTGATGATTACTGATAATAAGCATTTGTTCATATGTTTTTTGGCCATGTGTACATCTTCTTTTGAGAAGTGTCTGTTCATGTCATACTTAATTGAGGTTTTTTGGTTTTCTGCTTGTTGATTTGTTTACATTCCTTATAGATTCTGGATATTAGAACTTTGTCAGATGCATAGTTTGCAAATATTTTCTCCCAGTCTGTAGGTTATCTGTTTACTCTGTTGATACTTTCGTTTGCTGTGCAGAAGCTCTTCAGTTGAGTTAGGTCCCAATTTCTGTCTTTGTCACAATTGGTTTTGGGGAGTTAGCCATAAATTCTTTGCCAAAGTCTATCTTGAGAAGGATATTTCCTAGGTTTTCTTCTAGAATTTTAATATTTTGAGGTTTTACATTTAAATCTTTAAACTATCTTGGGTTAATTTTTGTATATAGTGAGAGTTAGGGGTCCAGTTCTATTATTTTGCATATGAGTAGTCAGTTATCCCAGAACTATTTATTGAAGAAAGGGTACTTTCCACATTGCTTGTTTTTGTCAATTTTTTCAAAGATGATTGTAGGTATGTAGCCTCATTTCTGGGTTCTCTATTCTGTCTCATTGGTCTATGTGTCTGTTTTTGTAGTAGTATCATGCTGTTTGGGTTACTATAGCATTGTAGTATAGTTTGAAGTTGGGTAATGTGATGCCTGGGCTTTGTTCTTTGTGCTTAGGATTCCTATGTGTATTCAGGCTCTTTTTTTGGTGCCAAATACATTTTAGAATAAATTTTTATAATTTCGTGAAAAATGACATTGCATTTTGAAATGGATAGCATTGAGTCTGCAATTTGTTTTTGGAAGTATGGCGATTTTAACTATTTGTTCTCCTAATTCATGAGCATGGAATATTCTTCCATTTGTTTGTATCATTTCTTATTTCTTTCAGAAGTGTTTTGTAGTTCTCCTTGTAGAGAATTTTCACCTTCTTGGTTAGATGGATTCCTAGGTATTTTATTTTCTTTGTGGCTAGTGTAAATGGAATTGTGTTCTTGATTTAGTTCTCAGCTAGAATGTTAGTGGTGCATAGAAATGTTACTAATTTGTGTACATTTTTTTAATCCCGAAACTTTATTGAATTTGTTTATCAGTTTCAGGAGCCTTCTGACAGAGTCTTTAGGGTTTTCTATGTATAAAATTATTTCATCAGCAAAGAGAGACAGTATCACTACTTCTTTTCCAATTTTAATGCCTTTTATTTCCTTCTCTTGCCTGATTGCTTTGGCTAGGACTTCCAGTACCATGTTGAATTAAAATGGCGGGAGTGGTCATCCTGGTCTTGTTTCGGTTCTCAAGGGGTATGGTTCCAGCTTTTGCCCATCAATATGATGTTGGCTGTGGGTTTGTCATAGATGGCTCTTAATATTTTGAGGTATGTTCCTTTGATGCCTATTGACAGTTTTTATCATGAAGGGATGTTGGATTTTACAGAAAGCTTTTTCTGCATCTATTGAGATGATCATATAGTTTTTGTTTTTAATTATGTTTATGAGGTGAATCACATTCGTTGACTTTGTAGGTTGAACCAACCTTGCATCCCAAAAATAAAGCTTACTTGATCATGTGAATTAACTTTTGATGCACTGACAGATTCAATTTGCTAGCATTTTGTTGAGGATTTTATGTCTATGTTCATTAAGGATATTTAGTTGTAGTTTTCTTTTTTTCATTATGTCTCTGACAGATGTTGGTATCATGGTGATGATGGCTTCATAGAATGAGTTAGGAAGAAGCCCCCACTCCTTGATTTTTTCCAAAAGTTTCAGTAAGATCGGTATCAGTTCTTCTTTGTATGGCTGTTGGATTTTGGCTGTGAATCCATCTGGTCCTGGGCTATTTTTAGTTAGTAGGGTTTTTATTACTGATTAAATTTCTGAACTTGTTATTGGTCTGTTCAGGTTTTCACTTTCTTCCTGGTTGAAATATGATAAATTTTGTGTTACCAGGAATTTATCCATTTCTTCTAGGTTTTCTAGCTTGTTTGTATAGAGGTGTTCATAATAGTCTTTGACGATCTTTTCTATTTCTGTGGGATTGTTCGTAACATTGTTTTGTCAGTTCTATTTGTGTTTATTTGGATCTTTTCTCTTTTTCTTTGTTAATCTAGCTAACAGTCTATGAATTTTGTTTATTTTTTTTCAAAGAAAAACTCTTGGTTTTATTTATCTCTTGTATGGACTTTTTGGTCTCAATTTATTCAGTTCTCTCTGACTTTAGTTATTTCTCATCTTTTGCTGGCCTTGGGTTTGGACTGTTCCTTTTTTTTAATAGTTCCTCTAGATGCAGTGTTAAGTCACTAATTTGAGATCTTTCTAAACTTCTGATGAGGCATGTATTGCTATAAATTTTCCTCTTATCACTGCTTTAACTGCATCCCAAAGGTTTTGGTAAGTTTGTTTCTATTTTTATTAATTTTAAATAATGTTTTGTGATTTCTGCTTTAATTTCATTGTTCACCCAAGAGTTCTCAAGGGGTAGAGTTCCAGCTTTTGACCATTCAATATGATGTTGGCTGTGGATTTGTCATAGATGGCTCTTAATATTCATTCAGAAACAAGTTGTTAAATTTCCATGTTTTTCTGTAGTTTTGAGAGATCATCTTGGTATTTTTTTCTATTTTTATTGTGTGCCTTGTTATGATTTTGATTCTTTGAATTTATTGAGACTTGCTTTGTGGCCAGTCTTAGAATATGATATGTTTTTTGTGTGTGCAGATAAGAAGAATCTATATTCTGCAGTTGTTGGGTGGAGTACTCTGTAGATGTCTATGAGGTCCAATTGGTCAAGTGTTGTCTTTAAGACCAGAATTTCTTTGTTAGTTTTCTGTTTTAGTGATTCATCTGACGTTGTTAGTGGGATACTGAAGTCCCTTACTATTATTGTGTGGCTGTCTAACTCTTTTCATAGGTGAAGAATAACTTGTTTTATGAATCGGGGTGCTCCAAATTTGGGTGCATATATATTTAGAATAGTTAAGTCTTCTGTCAAATTGAACCCTTTATCATTTTGTAATGCCCTTCTTTGTCCTTCCTGATTGCTGTTGATTTAAAGTGTGTTTCATGTGATATAAGAATAGGAATGCCTTCCTTTTTTTTGTTTCCTGGTTGCCTAGTAAATATTTCTTCATCCTTTTACTTTGAGCCTGTGGGTGTCATTACATGTGAGATGGGTCTCTTGAAGACAGCAGGCAGTTGGCTCTTGGCTTTTTATCCACGTTGCCACTCTATGCCTTTTATGTGGGGAATTTAGGCCATTTACATTTCTTCTCCTGATATATCCTTTTTATATTTTTATGATTGCCTTTTAAAATATATTGAATGGTTGTAATTCCAGGGAAATGTCTTTCAGAACAGTATTTATTCCCATCTACATGTTTTGGAGAGTGCACTAGGGGACATTGAAGTTTATTTCCTGAAAAGAGTTTAATTTTAAAATGTATTTTATTTAATAACTCAATGATTCAGGGAATGTCTAGGTATTTCAGAGATTGTTTTAGACAGTTTGTTTTCTTGTGATATGTGACCACTTCATCTAAGCTGAATAATGTCTTCATAATGTCCACTTAGAATCTTTTGAATTCTGTAGGATCTGTACTGATGTCATTGTTTCCTTTCTGATATTGGTAATTTTCCTGGGGTAGGATTCTTAGCTCCTCCTGAGGTCCTGCCTCTAAAATTCAGGGAACAATGAGTCAGATTAGTACTCTGATTTCAAAGGGAAAGCTGATCATCTACCATTTTTTGTTTATGTAAATGGACACATTAACATCCCTTGTCTGAACCTTAGTTACCTTGTTTGGAGCATTTTGCTATAAATCTCACTTCTCAGAGTGGTTGTGGGGCTTGATGTGGCTGGGGTATGGGATGGCTTAAACATAATTTATTTCCAGACCAGGTTAAGGCATGAAGGGGTTGGGACTTGTTAGAATCCTGTTGTCGGACTCCACAGTAAGGGTAGACATTTGAGGCACCCAATCAAAAACCTCAGTTGTTCCTAGCACTGAGAAATTTGATAGAATGTTTCTAAAACATTATTCATGGTCTAATGCACAAAAAGTAAAGTGATAGCCCTGGAAGTAGACAGGGAACCATAAGAAAAAAGAGAGAGCAAAGCTCAGTGGTCACCAGTGCCTGGGACCATCAAGGGGTTATTAAGGAGGAAGTTTCCACCTCTGTGGGGAACAGAAGAGGCTCCCTAGGGTCCACACACACAGGGAGTGAGCCAAGACTCTGGGCGAGGCTGGAAGCTCTGGGTCTCCTTCTGTGAGATTTTCTTTTTTTTTTTTGAGATGGAGTCTTGCTCTGCCACCCAGGCTAGAGTGCAACGGCGCGATCTCGGCTCATGGCAACCTCTGCATAAAGTGGTATGTATTTAAGGCATGCATTAGACAAATTACTAAGTATTTACTAGATAAGAAAAAATTATATCTGAATCTTTTCAAATTGCCGTCTTATGCATTATATTCTCTTTTTATAGTGCAATTTCTTAATAGTTAATGCCAGAAGATTTTTTTTTCTTCCTTTCTTTCTTTCTTTTTTTTTTTTTTTTGAGACAGAGTCTCACTCTGTTGCCAGGCTGGAGTGCAGTGGCACGATCTCGGCTCACTGCAACCTCCGTCTCTCGGGTTCATGCCATTCTCCCGCCTCAGCCTCCTGAGAAGCTGGGACTACAGGCACCCTCTACCATGCCCAGCTATTTTTTTTTTTTTTTTTGTATTTTTAGTAGAGACGGGGTTTCACCATGTTCGCCAGGATGATCTCTGTCTCTTGAACTCGTGATCCACCTGCCTTGGCTTCCCAAAGTGCTGGGATTACAGGCATGAGCCACTGCACCTGGTCGCCAAAAGATATTTTTAAAAACCTAAATGCCACTTGAAATGAATAAGACCCTCAATAATTCATGGGATATACATGTGAACTTATGACATATGATGAAATAAGCAGGTTACAAAATTGTAATATATCAAGCAAGGTAGAAAGCCATGGCAGAAAAAGAGACAAGCATTTTCAAGATAAGGAATGAAAGAGGGGAAACAGTACTATTGATTTTACAGATTTTACAAAGATATCTTAGGTGTGTTTTCCTAAATAATAAATGTACCCTCCTTTTGACCTTTATGTAATGAAATAACCATGCACACATTTTCAAATAATACTTCATTTACTTGACTTTATGCTTGAAAATTGAAGTATGGTGCTGTTTGTTATTTTCATTTATGCATTTTACTACCTTGTAATATTCCACTGAGTCTATTTACCACACTATGTTTATTTTTTTCGTAGGTGGACTTTGGTATTTTATAGCTTTGGCTAATAGGAACAGCATTCCTATAACAGTTGTGAGTGTATCATGACACATAAGTAGACATTTATCTCTAGGGTACATAATTAAGTACATAATTAAGAAGGGTCACAGCCATGTGCCTCCTCTTTTTAACTAGATAATTCCAATACACTTCCTTAATTGATTAAAGCAATTTGTACTCTTACTATTAATGTACTAAAATTCTACATGTTCAATATTCTTTCCAAAAAATGATTTTGCTACTTTTTTCTTTTCTTGAGACTGAGTCTTGCTCTATCACCCAGGCTGTAGTGATCTCGGCTCACTGCAACCTCCGCCTCCTGGGTTCATGCGATTCTCGTGCCTTGGCCTCCCAAGTAGCTGGGATTACAGGCAGGCGCCACCATGTCTGGCTAATTTTTGTATTTTTAGTAGAGACAGCGTTTCACCATGTTGGCCAGGCTGGTCTCGAACTCCTGACCTCAGGTGATCCTCCTGCCTCGGCCTCCCAAAGTGTTGGGATTACAGGCATGAGCCACCACACCCGGCCTATTTTTTTCTTTTCCCTCCATTGTGCTATGATTTTTGACATTACAATTTTACTGAAACTACACCATAAGAATGAAGCAGAAATTATTATAACCTTTAAATAAACTTTACAACTGGTTCATACTCGTGTGAACGACAATTCTTTTGACTACTTCCCAACTGTGCATTCAATGGCGTCATATGGGCACCCTGAAGTTGGCCATAAAGGACGTATTTATACCACACTAATCAGCAAATACCATAAATCTGGGGCTTTATATGTTCAGAGTTTTCTTAAGAAAATAATTTTTTCAGAGAGCCAGTTTAACAGAATACCATGAGGCTGAGCCTTCGAGCGTTAGTGTGCTCATTCTGAGAGATGATATTTCTGGACAAAGTACACAGGTATCATCCGATGAAGAGTGAAGGGAATTCAGGGTCCAGAGAGGGTGCTAGGGCATCATTTCAGACTCATATTTCCCTTTTTTTTTTTTTTTTTGGAGATGGAGTCTTGCTCTGTTGCCCAGGCTGGAGTGCAGTGGCAAGATCTTGGCTCACTGCAACCTCCGCCTCCCGGGTTCAAGCTATTCTCCCGCCTCAGCTTCCTGAGCAGCTGGGATTACAGGTGCTCACTGCCACACCCAGCTAATTTTTGTATCTTTTAGTAGAGACAGGGTTTCACCATGTTGGCCAGGTTGGTCTCGAACTTCTGACCTCAAGTGATCCGCCCACCTCAGCCTCCCAAAGTGCTGGGATTACAGGTGTGAGCCACTGTGCCTGGCCTCAGACTCATGTTTCAAAGTCCCAAATACAAATCTGCCCACCTATTCCAGTTATTTAATCCAGATCTATGCTCAGAACTGAAAAGATGGAGAATCAATAGTTCACTTTAGAGAATGCGGTAGTTGGAAACAAAGACAAATGTATTACATGACAGTGGACCAGAGCACGTGATCGCAGGGGTGTGGATGCAAACCCACCATGGGGGACGTGCCTTCACATCACAGAGAGCGAAAGGAAGGGAGGGGCAGACACGGAGGATCCACAACAGCAGGACTGAAAGCACTGCCATTTAATGGAAGTTTAATGGAGGAAGCGTTCTCTACAGGCACCCAGACATCTTCCTGAACCTGACCCAAGCCTCCCCTTCTCGACTTTCTCAGTAGACGGTTTCCCGAATGATGGTCCAGACTTTCTTCCAGAACCTCCTAGGACTATCAGATTCATTGCCAAGGCTCTGGCACTCTGAAGGGTGCATTGTTCTCTCATGTATTTACCTCCTTGCTGCATCTTGGGGACTTCTCTAGCTGTGCCAGTCCTAAAGCAGCAGAATCCCGAGGACCACCAGGACCAAGCCAGCCACAGCCACGCGGATGAGATTCTCCACTGTGTAATCCTGGGGGTGTGAGGCTGGGGATGGTGGACCAAGAGGTCTCAGAGGTCAGGGCAGATCAACATCACCCGGGACCCCTGGATGTCCACCCAGGGCACCCACCTCCCCTTCACAGGACCTGACCCTCTGTGCCAGCCCCATAACCGAGAGCATCTCCTTACACACCAGTCTTGGAGTCTGTCTTGTTTTGCGATGGGCTGAGGGTCTCAGCTGCTCCTGAGAATCAACCAAAAAAGGGGGAGGTGTGTGAGGAGTTGAAGAGACTTAAGCCAACATGTCCCTCAGTTGCTGCATTCCTTTGTGTCTACACTTCTCCTAACTGCTCTGTAGTTGTGTGATAGAACCTTTCCCTGCCGTGGCAGAGGTACATTCGCATACATACATACATATATGCATAGGTGTAAATATGTGTGTATACATAATATGTGTTATGCATATGTGTATACATAATATGTATTATGCATATGTGTATAGATAATATGTATTATGCATATGTGTATGCATAATATGTATTATAAGATATAGTGTGAGTATATATAAATATATAATATATAAGATATATAATAGTGTGTGTATACATATAAATATATAATAAGATATGTAATAGTGTGTGCATATATAAATATATAATATATAATAAGATATATAATAGTGTGTATATATAAATATATAATACATAATATATTATAAGATATATAATAGTATGTATATATAAATATATAATACATAATATATAAGATATATAATAGTGTGTGTATATATAAATATATAATACATTATATATTATAAGATATATAATAGTATATATAAATATATAGTACATAATATATAATAAGATATATAATAGTGTGTGTATACATATAAATATATAATAAGATATGTAATAGTGTGTGCATATATAAATATATAATATATAATAAGATATATAATAGTGTATATATATAAATATATAATACATAATATATTATAAGATATATAATAGTATGTATATATAAATATATAATACATAATATATAAGATATATAATAGTGTGTGTATATATAAATATATAATACATTATATATTATAAGATATATAATAGTATATATAAATATATAGTACATAATATATAATAAGATATATAATAGTGTGTGTATACATATAAATATATAATAAGATATGTAATAGTGTGTGCATATATAAATATATAATATATAATAAGATATATAATAGTGTATATATATAAATATATAATACATAATATATTATAAGATATATAATAGTATGTATATATAAATATATAATACATAATATATAAGATATATAATAGTGTGTGTATATATAAATATATAATACATTATATATTATAAGATATATAATAGTATATATAAATATATAATACATAATATATAATAAGATATATAATAGTGTGTGTATATATAAATATATAATACATAATATATATTATAAGATATAATAATGTGTGGGTAATATAAATATATAATACATAATATATAAGATATATAATAGTGCATATATAAATATATAATACATAATATATATTATAAGATATAATAATGTGTGGGTATATATAAATATATAATACATAATATATATTATAAGATATAATAATGTGTGGGTATATATAAATATATAATACATAATATATAAGATATATAATAGTGTATATATAAATATATAATACATAATATATATTATAAGATATATAATAGTGTGTGAGTATATATAAACACATACATATATATTTGAAGTGAGAAGAGTATTATATAATTTAGAAACAAACAAGTTTGTCCTCCATTTTCTTGTGGTTAATGTAATTATTATCAATAAATCAGAAGAGATCATTTCGGAAAGGATTGAAAGGGAGTGTGTCTGTGGTAAGTTAATAGGAACTAAAATTAGCATACCCAAACCAATAGCTTTCTCATCCATACGTAACTAATTTTAGAAAATAGAAAGGAATCAAAGACTTTCAAATTATTCAAGTAGTAAAACAATGCTTAAAATTCACAATGTCCACAATTTTTATGAATACAACTTCAAGCATCTGCTAACTGTATAAAGTTTAATTTTAAATGTATTGGATACAAAGACATTATTAATGAGAAGTTATTCTCCATCATGAATGCACATATTTAATTTAATCCCAAAGAAAATCAGAGCACAGTTATTTTACATCATAACGCTACCTAACAAATTAAATGTGTAAATTATAAATGCCAGCATTGCTTTGAAATCTTCAGAAACAGAAAGAGAAACTAGATATGTGGACATAAAAAATAAAGGACAGAAAGGAATTGCACACGAGGTTTGCTGTTGAATAATTTGCCTGCATTGCTGCAGTGAGCAGGTGCATGATCTCCCCTTCGTCTCAGGTATGCACTGAGTATTTTGGGGCCGCCAGGGGAGCCCAGGTGGGGAGTGGGTGGGGCCTCCATCTTCTACCCTCAGCCTAAGCATGATTCCTCCAAGGTTTCTCCATATCTCATTTCAGCCCTCCCTGGCCTTTAGCCCCATCTGAGGTCTCTGGGGTGGGAGCCCAGGATTAGGAGGTCCCTGACTATTTCCACCCTCTCATGGGCTGGGCCCTCCCCTGCCGACCCTCCCCCTTTACTCCCCTCTTTCCTTAGCGTCCTGAGCTCTCCTGGGGGCAGGGCCTGAGCTGAGGTTTGAGCTCAGAGAGGACAGGGTCAGCGGCCTCACCTGAGACCACGAGCTCCAGGGGGTCACTGGGGTGAGACAGCAGGTAGGGGAAGAATCTGCGTGAGCTGTAGCACCTGTAGGTCCCCGCGTGGGCTGAGGTCACAGGACTCATGGGGAATTCAGCCTGGTGCTGCTGAGCTTGGTGCTCTGATCTCAGACGCAGTGGGTGATGGGCTGCCCCCTCCTTGGTCAGAAGGAAAGTGTCCAACTGCTCCCGTGACTGACACAGCAGGGTCACGTTCTCTCCTGAGGCCACCGTGGGGCCCGGCTGCACCGAGAGGGAGGGTCTGCCACGGATCTGTCCTGGAGAGAAGAAGGATGGGTGAGGGGCTGCCCCACCTCGTTCTGAGCTGACACCTCCCCAGGCCTCTCTCTGGGACCCTCAGTCTCTGTCTCTGTTTTCTCTGAGTCTCCCTCTACCCACCCATCCCCTGTCTCTGTCTGTCTCTCCCTCCCTTGGGACCCCCACCCCTCATCCTGGCCATCACCACCTGGGCTCCCCCAGCAGGGCCTGTGCGGAGCGTGGGTCCCTGACTGAACCTGCTGGGCTCCTCACCTGCGATCAGGATGCTCAGGGGGTCACTGGGGGCCGACCACTCGGAGGAGAGGTTGTGTGCACCGTAGCATCTGTACTGGCCCCCGTGGGAGACCCTCACAGGGCCCAGGGTGAAGTTGGCCTGGGAGAGCCCAGCCTGGGGCTGCCGGCCAGAGCCCTGGACGAGGTCATGTCCCCCCTCCTTGTACAGAGTGAATTTGTCATAGCCGACATCAGAGCCACACTGGAGGGTCAGATTCTCCCCAGGGGCCACGACAGGGCCCTGCAGGGTCAGGAGGGAGGGCTTCCTAGACACGCCTGGAGGGAAAGAAGAGTCGGGACTAGGAGGGCTGGTTCCTCCCACACCCCTTCCTTCTCCCCTCCTGGCCCTGCAGGTCTCACTGTCTCTCATACTCAGTGTCTCTGGGCTCAGGAGTCCCAAACTTCCCTTGTTCCACCCTCCTACATGGGGCTCCGTGAGAGTAAGTTCTCAAAAATAAATAGGGCAAGGAGGAAGACATCCATACCTAAGACCAGGATCTCCATGGTATCACTGGGTTCCGACCACACCCAGGGGAAGTTCGTGTAATGCCCATAGCATCTGAACATCCACCGGTGACTGGCAGCCACACGGCCCACAGGGAACAGGGCCAGGGACAAGGGACAGCCCCTTGGAGAGTTCCTGTGAGTCCAGCATCCAGGAGAGCTTGTTTTCTCCTTCCTCAATCAAAATGAACCTGTGAAATCCCACCCTTGAGCTACACTGGATGGTCACGTTCTCTCCTGAGGTCACCACAGGGCTCGGCAGGGCTGAGAGAGTGGGTTTTCTGTGGGCTCCTAGGAGAGAAGGAGACACTGTCTTAAATGGGGCTCACGCGTCCCACATCATCCCCCAGGGCTGAGTTATTAGAACGGAGATGCCCTTGAGAGCCGACCCCCTTCCTGCAGGCAGAGCCTGGGGCTGGGACCCCTGAGTGTCCTCTTACCTGTCACCACCAGCTCCAGGGGCTCGCTGCGCTCTGACCAGCCTGCAGGGCTGAGATAGTGACAGTGGTATCTCCCTGCATGGTGCTCTCTCATGGATGGGATGAAGAAGTTGGTCTTGTTCCTGGGCTCTGGTGGGCTCTGTTGGTACCAGGTCATGGGGTTTCCTTCCTTGGTGAGATAGTAACCCTGGGTATCCAGGGTCCCCTGGCACCAGAGGGTCATGGGGCTCTCCCAGGTAATCACAGAGCCTGGCTCAGCCCAGAGGCTGGGTTTGGGGAGGGTCCCTGGAAGAAACCACAGGCTGGGGTCCACAGACCTCCCCCGCTCCTCATTCCCAGCTCAGGTCACAGACCCTCTTGATTTTCTCACCCTCAGTTCAGAAGCCCCTGAGATGAGAGTCCAGGTGCTGAGTGTGAGGTCAGGCATGGGAGGTTAGCAGAGACTCACCTGCAAGTGCTTGGGCTTTCTGGCCCAGACTCAGCCATGGAGAAGAGTTTCCTGTGGGGGATTTGGAACACAGAGGTGTGGCTGCTTCCCTTCCTGTTGGAGCACCAGTAGCCACTGGAGCCCTGAGGCTCTCTGGTGAACAAGGCTGCTGTGGGACCCTCCCCACCTCAGCCCAGTGCCCCTCCTGTCCCTCGTCTCTCCACCACTGACTGAGGCACAGAAGAACAGTGAGGATGGACACCATGATGCCTGCTCTGCGTGCTCCAGCTGTGGGACAGGTGACCACATGGCCCTCCATGACAGACAGATGCACGGATGTGGTTAAGTCAGAGCCTGCTGCCGCCTGCCTGGGTCCCCACAGCTGTGAACCCACAGGAAGTGGACAGCCCCTTGCTGGGCCTGTCTCTTATTCCCCCCCCAGTGCAGGGGCTCAGGAGGACCCAGGCCCTCTGCACACATCTCAGCCCAGACCTGAGGTGTCCCCTGATTGCCAGGGATCCTTTGTCTGAAAACCTGCCCGTGGAGGGTGGACCCAACATCATATCTATGTCAGCTCCCAACTTAGCTGGGTCTAAACTGAAAACACAGCCCTTATTTTCTCAGAGCCTCCACTCATGACATCGGCTTTCTTTTTCCCCACTGATGCAAAGACAAATATTTCCCAGCAGAAAGTCATCCTGATCTGGAGAGACCCATTTCCTGCGTTCAGTAAATAAAGTCAGTTTCATTAGGGGAGGCTCTGGGAAAATAAGGGGATGCAGACTAGCAGAAGATGAACATTTAGCTACTTGTTTCTCAATTAATTGATTTATTACCAAAGAGAGAGAAGTGGAAACATGAGAATAGGGACCATGACTAGAATGTGGTTGAGGGAATGGTTTCTATCTTATTCCCTGGCAGAGAACTAAGGGATAAGAATGAGAAAGCTGGCTGGGTGCAGTGGCTTACACCTGTAATCCCAGCACTTTGGGAGGCCGAGGCAGGAAGATCACAAGGTCAGGAGTTCAAGACCAGCCTGACCAACATGGTGAAACCCCTGTCTCTACTAAAAATACAAAAACTAGCTGGGTGTGCTGGCATGCGCCTGTAATCCCAGCTACTAGGGAGGCTGAGGTGGGAGAATCGCTTGAACCTGGGAGGTGGAGCTTGCAGTGAGCCGAGATCGCGCCACTGCACTCCAGCCTGGGCAACAAAGCCGGACTGTCTCAAAAAAAAAAAAAAAAAAAAAAAAAAAAGAAAGAGAGAAAACCCAGCAGTGAGAGGTAGTTGTGAGAACACACTAAAGAGGAAAGATAATCCAGGGCTGGGAGTGGTGGCTCATGCCTGTAATTCCAGCACTTTGGGAGGCTGAGGCTGGCAGATCACAAGGTCAGGAGTTCGAGACCAGCCTGACCAACATGGTGAAACCCTGTGTCTACTAAAAATGCAAAAATTAGCTGGGTGTGGTGGTGGGTGCCTGTAATCCCAGCTACTCAGGAGGCTGAGGTGGGAGAATCGCTTGAACCCAGGAGACGGAGGTTGCAGTGAGCTGAGATTGCACCACTGCACTCCAGCATAGGCAACAAAGCCAGACTCTGCCAAAAACAAAAACAAAAACAAAAACAAAAACAAAAACAAAAAACAAGAAAGCTCAGTGAGAGGTGGTTGTGAGAACACACTAAAGAGGAAAGATCATTCAGGGCTGGGAGTGGTGACTCACGCCTGTAATCCCAGCACTTTGGGGGGCCACAGGCGGGTGGATTACCTGAGGGCAGGAGTTCAAGACCAGTCTGGCCAACATGGTGAAACCTCGTCTCTACTAAAAATACAAAAACTAGCTGGGTGTGATGGCGTGTGCCTGTAATCCCAGCTACTCGAGAGGCTGAGTCAGGAGAATCTCTTGAACCCAGGAGGCAGAGGTTGCAGTGAGCTGGGATCGTGCCACTGTACTCTAGCCTGGGTAACAGAGCAAGGCTCTGTCTCAAAAAAATAAAAATTAGAAAGAAAAAAGGAAAAGGAGAAGAGGAAGGAGACAGAAAGGAGAGAAACATCCCTGAGGTGGAACATTACATGCAACATGGAGTAGGCAGGGAATCCGATAGAGCACTGAAACTCTCACTGGGTACGGTGGCTAACATCTGTACTCCCAGCACTTTGGGTGGCCGAGGTGGATGGATCACCTGAGGTCAGGAGTTTAAGACCAGCCTGACCAACATGGTGAAACCCCATCTCTACTAAAAATACAAAAGGCTGGGTGTGGTGGCTCACGCCTGTAATCCCAACACTTTGGCAGTCTGATACAGGCGGATCACATGAGATCAGGAGTTTGAGACCAGCCTGGCCAAGATGGCAAAACCTCATCTCTACTAAAAATACAAACATTACCTGGCTGTGGTGGCAGTCGCCTGTAATCCCAGCTATGCAGGAGGCTGAGGCAGGAGAATCGCTTGAACCTGAGAGGTGGAGGTTGCAGTGAGTCAAGATCGTGCCATTGCACTCCAGCCTGGCCAATAGGAGCAAAACTCCATGTCAAAATAAAATAAAATAAAATAAAATATAATAAAATAAAATAATAAATCAAAAAAGGACTGGACATCTCCTGTGGGTTGTCAGTGAATGGAACTAAGCAAGCCACCGCTCTTTCCCTTTTGTCCTGCAAGTGTCTTTCTTGGCCTCCAGGAAGTGAGTTCCATCATGTCAGACCCTATGTTTGTTCCTGCTGGGTTCACTGAGGCTCCTCCCTTTCCACCTGTGGCTCCCCATGGGTTCCCAGTCCCCAGCCAGTGTTGTGAATCGAGCCAGGAAGACCAGCCCTATCACACCCCTCCTGATGGAATTCCCACAGTGTCATCCTGGAGAACAGGGGCTGGGGGCTGGGGTAGGATCAGAGACCTTTTCATGTGGGCCAGGCCCCTCCCTCCACAGGAGCTCTGACACGAAGCTCATCACCATTCATTTCACCCTGACGATATTCTTCCTGCCCAGACACCCCCGTTCTCCCTATGTCATCATGGGCACCTCAGTGAAATCCATGGTTGAGGGTCTCTGTCACTTACTCTGCCCTCTTCTTGGAAAATTTCCTTGGATCCTTCCAGAGCCCTTCCTGAGTGTGCTGCAGGGTCTCTGCCACATGACACACTCTCAGGAACCCTCATCCTCCCCTTAATCTACTGCGCCCACATAGCCAGGTGCAGGCTCCGTTTCTTCATCTTCCCTTCCCCACAGGCCCCGATGGAGAGTGGATTAGACTCGCTCCTGAGTAGGGACTCAGGTCACTCTGACCCCTTCCTCCCTGTGGACGAGGCCTCTGTCCCAGAGCTTTGGAGGCTGAAGGGCCTTGTGGATTCCCGCACTGGCCACAGTCTCCGATGCAGATGGGGAACTGGGGACCTGGGAGGGGTTGCCTAGCCCAAGGCCACATAGCTGGGCGGTGGCACAGCCTTCACTCACACAGGGACATTCCATCTTCCCAGGGACTTCACACTGGAGGCTAAGAGCCCCACTTTGCACACCACATTCAGGGGTAGATTCTGTGTGTGACTAACAAGTTCTCTTAGGGTTCCGAGGTAACAGGACAGCAAATGGATGAGTGAGAGTTTCCCTCACCCCACTGAAGTAGGACCATTCTCTGTGGAGGGTTGGTCCCCTGACTTCCTCTACTCTGTCATCTCCCTAGTGACTGATAGGGGTCCTGGGGTCTCTTCCCTGGAATCCCATGAGGGACAATTCCTTTCCTGAAGGGAAGGTATAGAGAGGACTAGCAGGTGCCTGGTGATGGAAAGTCCCCATAATCAAGAGACATTGCCTCCCCCCCCCGGCATGATAAATATCTGGGTTTCCAAATGGGAAATCTGTCTGTGATGAGAGCTCAGGAGGGGCTTCTGGAAGATGGAAAAGGGCTAGAGGCTGAGGCCACTGCTTATCTCCCCACACTGTATCTGGCTTCACCTCCTGTGTTTGTCCTGACCTCTTCCTTCACTCACCTGGATAAGTAGGACCCCAAAGTGGGCCTCCAGACAGGAAGCAGTGGAGAGTGTGGAGCTGCCCTGTCTACCACCCTACACCCTGACACCACTGTCATACTCAACCTCTCTTTTCCTCTTTGTGTTTCTCATTGCTTCATTTTGTCTGGAATCCCTAAGATTCCCATGTCTCCAGCAGGCTGTCCCTCAGACGTGGCTATATGATTTAGTGTTTCACAGGGCATGCAGCAGGCATGGGCTACCCCCAGTAACAGTGGTCATCTAGGGCTGATCACTCACAGGCAGAGCCATCGACAGAGAGCTGCAGCATCTAGAGGTCCCATCACCAGCCCCAAGACCCAGAGAGAAGTTGGCCTGAATGCCCCACTCTGTCTCTGCACCCCAGTGAGCCAGTGTCCAGGGGCCTTACCTTCCTCGTTAGAAGGCACAGGTCAAATGAGCTTCCAGAGCTGCAGAGCAAAGTCACATTCTCTCCATCATTACTTACTGCAGGGCACAGTTGAGCTGAGAAGGAAGGTCTCTTGTAGACGCCTGGGGAAAAAAATAGTCCTTGACTGTCGAGCACAAGCCTTACCCAGCCTATCCTCAGGGCATGAAAAAGGCATTCTCTCCACCTGTTCTGGGGAGCACACTCTGTTACCCACTCGTGCCTCTCTCCATCTCAGTTCTAGCTCTACAAGCTGGCTCATCATGTGTGTGTTTTCCTGTCTGTCTTTGCTCAGCTTTTCCTTGAATCTCTTGCTTTTTGCCGGTGCGTGTGTGGCTTTCTGCCCTTAGAACCATATGAGATTTAGGGTTCTCCTGGCACATAGAACTGTTTACTTTGAGGACCCTCAGAAAACATAGCCCTGGGCTAAGGCTCCCTGTCCTGGAACTAGAAGGTTATGGGTGTCACCATTTCCCAACAGCATGTCTGAAAGTGCCAGAATCTTCAAAGAGTCTGCAACATGTTTGTAGGATCTTTATAGGGTCTGATATTGCAGGGACCAACCAAAGTGCCCTCACACCCCAAGACGCTGGAAGTGACCCCTTGCTGAAAGTGGTTGGAAGTTTCACATAGAAGTTTGAGTTAAGCCACATTGCTGAGCAATGCCTCAGCATCCCAGTCTTCATCCAGACCTTCCAGGAGCCTGGCTGGAGGGGGTGTCTCTGGTGTGTCACTGAGCCTTATAGCAGAGGAAGGGGGCTATGGTGGAAACTACCTCCAAGATACCACTCAGTCCTAAGCTGGGGAACAAGCTGAGCTTGGATTCTGGTAGTGAATGAACCGGGAAACATTTATTTGAAGGGTTCTAAGAGTAGCATCGTGTGGGTGCGTTAATTGTATGTGAAGGGGAAGATCCTGAGAAAACAAGAGCTGCTCCACTCTGTGCCTGGGTTTACCAGAGGGACCGATGAGGTCCTCACAAGACCCAGGAATCCCACCGGGGGAAGGAGGCTTAGGGAGATGTGTTTAAGACTGTTAAGTGAGTCACAGACAGAAGCAGATCAAGCCATCCCACCACCTAGGTTTGTGGTTTTGTTTCTCCTAAACTTCCTTTCTGTAAGTAGCAGAACCTTCTCATCACCATCCTTCAAAACCTCTGCATTGTTTGAGCTCCTTGTATTTTCTGGAGATTAATCTCTTGCTTGCAAATATTCTTTCCCATTCTGTAGGTGGTCTCTTCACTCTGCTGTTTGTTTCCTTGATTGTGCAGAAGGTTTGCAGTTTGCTATGATCTCATTTGCCTATTTTTGCTTTTGCTGCCTGAGCTTTTGAGGGTTTTTTTTTTTTGTTTTTTTTTTTGAGACGGAGTCTCGCTCTGTCACCCAGGCTGGAGTTCAGTGGCATGATCTCAGCTCATTGCAACCTCCGCCTCCCGGGTTCAAGTGATTCTCCTGCCTCAGCCTCCCTAGTAGCTAGGACTACAGGCGAGTGCCACCACACCCGGCTAATTTTTGTATTTTTAGTAGAGGCAGGGTTTCACCACGTTTGGCCAGGCTGGTCTCAAACTCCTGACTTCAAGTGATCCACCCACCTTGGCCTCCCAAAGTGCTGGGATTACAGGCGTGAGCCACTGCGCCCGGCGTTGTATTGGATTTTTAATTCAGCCCTATTTTCTCCGACATTTGATATTGGCATTTTTGTCTTTTTTGGATATGCTAGGATCATGGTGTCATAATTTAATTTTAATTTTTATTTTTATTTTAAGTTCCGGGGTACATGTGCAGAATGTGTGGGCTTATTGCATAGGTCAATGTGCGCCATGGTGGTTTCCTGCACCTGTCAACCCATCACCTAGGTATTAAGCCCAGCATACATTAGCTATTTTTCCTAATGCTCTCCCTACCCCTACCCCACCCCCCCCCCGACAGGCCCCAGTGTGTGTTGTTCCCCTCCCTGTGTTCACGCATTCTCATTGTTCAGCACCCACTTGTAAGTGAGAACATGCAGCGTTTGATTTCCTGTTCCTGTGTTAGTTTCCTGAGGATAATGGTTTCCAGCTCCATCCATGTCCCTGCAAAGGACATGATCTTGTTTCTTTTTATGGCTTCATAGTATTCCGTGGTGTATATGTCTCACATTTTCTTTATCCAGTCTATCATTGATGGGCATTTGGGTTGATTCTATGTCTTTGCTATTGTGAATAGTGCTGCGATGAACACATGTGTGCATGTATCTTTGCAATAGAATGATTTATATTCCTTTGGGTATACGCGCAGTAATGGGACTGCTTTTACCTGTGCCAAAATACTGAAGTAGAAATGATTATTCACTCTAAAATGGAAGGTAATAAGATGTATACGTGAGCTATCAGATGCCTGGTGCTTATGAGTGAAGACAAGTCTGTCCAACGCTTCCCAACCCTGCATTCAGGGATGTCTCGTTGGCATCTTGATTATGGCCATGAAAAAAGAATTTACGTCAAGGAAATTGGTAAATGCCACTAATCATAGCATTTCAAAAAATGTCTTTTTCAGAATTAGCATACCATTGGGTCGTGACTTCAAATGCCAGTGTGTTGATTCCAGGTGGTGATATTTCAGGAGAAACTACACAGATAGCATCTGATAAGGAGGGAAGAGCTCATAGGGTCCACACAGGAGGTGAGGGCATCACGGTGCATTTATCTTTTCCTGGTCGGACTCTGATCTTCTCCCGTTGAATTAGTTCCTAAACCAGGTGCGGAACTCTGAACTGAAGACATGAAGACCCAGTAAAGTACACCAGGAAGTGTGGCAATGAGAAATGAAGAGGACTGTGTGACACGCCATGGACCAGAGCATGCAGGTGTGCAGAGGTGTGGACCCAACGCTGCCATGTGGGATGGAGCCTCATGTCTAAGTGTGGGAAAAGAGGCAGATCCAACCAAGGAAAGTCAACATTAATGGAGAGGAAAGGTATCACATTTTAATGGTTCTCCATGGATCACCCCAGAAAATGTCCCTGCACTCGGACATTGATTCCTTCCTCTGGAAATGACCAGCAGACAGTCCAGATAGCATCGGCCCTAGATTTTCTTCCAGAACCTCCTGGGATCATCAGATCTGTTCCTGAGGCTTCACGACTCTATAAAGTACATTATCCTCTCTGCTGTTCACCTCCCGGCTGCATCTTGGGAAGCTTCTCTGGCTGTGCCAAGCCTCAAATGACAGAATCCCGAGGACCACCAGGATCAAGCCAGCCACGCCCATGTGGATGAGATTCTCCACTGCGTAATCCTGAAGGTGTGAGGCTGGGGATGGTGGACAAAGAGGTCACAGAGGTCAGGGTGGATCAGATTGTCCACCCAGGGCACCCACCTCCCCTTCACAGGACCCAACCCTCAGTGCCAGCCCCATCACTGAGAGTATCTCCTCACATACCAGTCTCAGAGTCAGACTTGTTTTGTGATGGGCTGAGGGTATCAGCTGCTCCAGAGAATCAAAACAGAGAAAAAGAGACCTGAGCCCAGCCTCTCACCTGGGCTCTGCAATTTTTTTTTTATTACTTAATGTCTCATGATGTGACTTTTACAGAATTTCTAAAAAAAAAAAAAAAAAACCTCTTCCTCCGCTAGCAGGATTCCCTCTAGTCTCCTCATTGAACGATTTCAGTTTTCCTGTGTTCTATGGATTTAAACATTGCTCCTGAGTCATCTGGGAGAGAGTTTTCCTGCATCCTGAGAGCTCAGGATCTGCAAGGAAAGTGGTCCCCAGTACAGAGGTCACTAAGGCCTGTGTGCTCTCTGTGCAGCCTGGGACACAGGAGAACATGAGCCAACTCCCCCGGAGATGAGAGTTTCACGGATCCACCAGCTGAGGACCCAGGCTCCGTGGATGAGGGTTAGTCATCAGGGGAGCCTCAATGTCAGAAGCACAAAGGGGTGAAATTCTGGGGCTGCCTCCCCTTCATGCCCTCAGCCACTTCACCTGGAGTTTCATTGTCCATTTAATCTCTAGGTAGCTAATTATTCGTATAGGCAGCAACAGGTAGAATGTGATACACACACAGAAAAACACAAACACAAATATATATCTGTTTTATATATATAGTGGGCCTTAAAAACTATCTCTGCCTTCTTGAAGTGTGGGTTCACCTGGAGACAAACAGCAAACATATAGAAACACAGCAGTGGAAATTTACTAGTCGTAGCAATGGTTTTAGATATATTGGTAGAGACCTATATTTATGTGTGAATATATATTATTTGTATAGATATACGGATAACTAGGTTTCAATGTCACGTAAGATGTTGGTGTGACCACACACGCGCACACACACACACACACGTATATGCAGAGAGTGGAAGAGAGAGAGAAGGAATTCAGCCGCATGGTGTAGGTTGGTTAATTACTTGACATAAATGAGAAGCAGGCAGGACTGGGCTGAGCTGTGTCGTCAGTGAAGGTCACACTTGGAGGTGACATTGAAGCTGATTCCTCAATAGGAAAAAGGGCCAGGAAGGAGGCGTGTGGAGACCCAGACAGGGAGCAACAGAGGCTCCAGAAAGAGCAGGTCCCAGAAAGGTCTCAGCCTGTTCTTCAGAAAGGAATGGCCGCTTGTCTACAGGGTGGAGGAGGAGGCAGAGGAGGAGGGGAGATGAGCTTCGGGGCCTTGGTGGATTGAGAATAGGCCAGGATGAACCGGCCAGGAAAGAGCGGCCCCAATATCTCTCTCTCTGTCTCTCTGTCTCTGTCTCTGCCTCTCTCTCCCTCCCTCTGAGGTCTGGAAAGTGCTGTAGGGTTTCAAGGAGTGGTACCAGTCATTTGACTTTTTCTGAAAAGATAAGCCCTACCCCCTCCATAGCAAATGTCCAGAACGAAGGAAGTCCACATTTCTACCTGAAGTTTACAAAACCTCAGGGAGCACGTGAGATCAGGGCTATTACGAAACCGGGTGAGAATAAAAATAGGTGATGCTGCAAATCTACTTTCACCAGCTTGGACAAAAAGGCCAATATGAGATTTTAAAAACCCAAATAAAAAATGTCAACGGCGCAGAAGAGGAGCGGTGCACATTCCCTGAGCTGCTGCGGGAGCACGTGCAAGTCCCTGTGAGGCTCAGGTGTGCGCTGAGTGCTGGGGAGGCTGCAGGGGAAAGCAGGAAGTGGGGCGGGGTGGGGGGGGGTCGGGGGTGGATGCAGGTGGCACCGGCAGCCTGGATGCTTCTCTCTCCAGGAGGGCGTCTGTTGGGGACTGGGACACAGAGGCTCTGATTCTGAGGTGGAGACACCAGGATGGGAGCAGGTGGGGCCTCCGTCTTCCACCCTCAGTCTAATCTCAACTCCTTTGAGGTTCACCCCCCGTCTCCTCCCAGCCCTCCCTGCACTTTACTCTACTGAGACTTCAGGGGTGGGAGCCAGGGGTGGGAGGTCCCTGTCTATTTCCATCTTCCCATGGGCTGGACCCTCCCCTGCGGACCCTCTCCCTTCACTCCCCTCTTTCCTTAGTGTCCAGAGCTCTGCTGGGGGCAGGGCCTGAGCTGAGCCTTTGAGCTCAGAGAGGACAGGGTCAGCGCCCTCACCTGAGACCACGAGCTCCACGGGGCCACTGGGGTGAGACAGCAGGTAGGGGTCGGAGCTGAGTGAGCCGTAGCACCTGTAGGTCCCCGTGTGGGCTGAGGTCACAGGACTCATGGGGAATTC